>NC_000003.12:162796483-163099513 GCF_000001405.40 Homo sapiens | reverse complement strand
TAGGAAGAATATTAAAATACATTGCTATTTTAACTGGGTTTATACTGAAAAATTACACTACCTAGTTTAGTGACAAGCATTCGTTGTTGACTGTAACCTTCTTCTTGTAGATTAGACAATGAACTTCACAATTTACCTGCCTCACATGTCTCCAATACCCAGACCAAAGTGGGAAAAGGACTAAGAAAAAGAGAAAACAGCTATTTCTATTAAATTTGTGTGTCTCCCTGCATCAGCTTGGATGTGGACCTTCAGTTTTAGCTGGAGACTGAGACTGAGGAGAACATCACTTTTTATAATTCAAGAAGTTAATGTTGTGCTTAATATTGTGCATACATGTCACATGGGGAGATAACTGTCAGTAGAGAATTAAAGGCAAAATAGTTGAAATATATATTGAAGTAACAATAACTAGAAAATTGTCAGATATGGGTTTGAAATTACCCTTGAGTGATATAGTATATTAATTCATGTTGAAGGGTGTTTGCCGACAGTCAATAAACTAGGATACTGACTAATAACTGGGAATAAAATAATTTCAAAATGCTTCACTAATGAAACATATTGGTAGCCCAAGGTATTGAATGTTAAATTTGCAAAACTAAAAACGCAGGGCTTTAAGTTCAAAAGCCTTGCAAAATTCTGATTTGAATAATTAAAAACGAAAAGCAGTGGCCCACGACCAAGCAATGGCAAGTGCACTAAGATAATAATCAAAAAAGGCAAACTGATGTTAGAAAATAGAAAACTAAGCTTAATCAAGTAAATTAGGGCAAGTACTCTGTTGCAAGTGAAGCACAAAGCCTTAATGAATATTAGGCTGCACGCAGTGGCTCATACCTGTAATCCTAGCACTTTGGGAGACCTACGTTGGAAGGATCACTTGAGGCCAGGGGTTTGAGGCTGCAGTGCGCTATGATTGAACCACTGCACTTCTACGTAGGTGACAGAGTGAGATCTTGTCTACAATAAATAAATAAATAAACAAATAAATAAATACAAGCATTCACTCAAAGTCTTTCCAGAAAGAAGTTAGATGAACTAGAGAGAGGCATTTTCTATCTCCCAGTGGAATAAAAGTTCCAAACCTGGCTGGAGTGTCTGCCCTTGTCCTGTACCATCCCATACAATAATAATTCATTCACCCTCTGGATACAGTTTCTTCCAGGAATTTAATTAGAGATTGATACAGAAACCAAGGTTCTGGCATGTGGAAACCAAAAATAAATGTTTACTGAAAAGCTGTGAAATAACTACTCAACAAAAACAAAAAATAAAAATAAAAAAGGGTTACATAATCAGTTTTCTGCTTTTCAATTTTAAGTTGGAAGTTGCTAATTCTGGAAAATAATTGAACTTCTTTATCTTCCTGATGATGTTATTCCTAATTATTGGAGGTGTTTACATATTAGTAAAACGTACCATATATATGGTGAAGGGAAAATAAATTTATTTCTCAACCAAAGTTATTGTTATTAACATTTAGAAAACATTTTAATATGTATCTGTATATATAAGTAAATAAAAGATAAGGTTATAAACAAAATAGATTTTTAAATTACAAATAGGTAACAGATTTTAGAATATTGCTTAGAATTCAATTGTTTTAAAGGAATAAGTATGTCTTATTTTTAGGTGTTCTAGGCAAAATTCTGAAAATGTTCCTTTCTACAAACAATTTCCCACCATACTTCCAAGGACTTTGAATATTATGAATTTTCATGTCTATGAATATGTCACTTTACATAATAGAGGGACTTGCAGACATAATTAACTCCACTGTATTAGTCAGGGTTCTCCAGAGAAAGTGAACCAACAGGAAATATATTTTTCACATACATAATTTCGTTTTAGGAATTGCGTCACATGATTATGGAGGCTGAGAAGTCCCATGGTCTGTCATCTGCAAGATGGTATTAGCCCTGACAAGTAAAGAGCTTGGAAATAATCACTACAGTATTCACCAAAACAACAATAAGCTGAACAAACTGAAAATAAACAACTATTTTTAAATCCATCAGAGAGCTGATGTCACAGGGCAAGTTCCTACCCCAAAACCTGAATAGGCCTATGAATATAGAAAATCACAGTCAAAAAATGGGAGAGAGAGAATAAAAGTGCAAGCTAAAATATTTGCTAAACATATATATAATAAAAGATTTATATCAAGAATGTATGAAGCACTCTTTTGACTCAACTGTAATAACACAAACAACTCGATTATAATAATAGGCCAATTATCTGAGCATGCATTTCACCAAAGGTATTATAAAGATGGCAAATGAAAATTTGAAAATGTACTCAACATTACACATCATTAGATAACTGTCAATTAAAACAAGATATGACTGCATATTTATTAGAATGGCTAAAATCCAAAATGCTGACAACACCAAATGCTAGCGAGAATTCAGAGCCCTAGAAACTCCAATCCATTTATAGTTGGAATTCATAATGATACAGCAACTTTGAAGTACAGTTTGGCAATTTCTTTCAAGGCTAAACACAGTCTTATCACATATCCAGCAATCACACTTCTAGGTATTTACCCGATTTCGTTGAAAATATATGTCCACACAGAATTATGCACATCAATGTTTACAAAGCTTTATTCATCATAGACAAAAACTGGAAACAATATGTCCACAGATATGTAAACAGATACTCTGCGGTATGTCTATACATTGAAATATTATTTAGTGATAAAACTGTATGAGTTGCCAAATTGCCAAAAGACATATGGAAACCTTCCATGTATATTGGTATATTGGGGAAGAAAAGCACTCTGAGAAGGCTTTATATTTGTATTATTCTTACTGTATGGCATTCTGGAAAAGGGAAAACCACAGAGAGAGTAAAAGAGCAGGGTTCCTAGGGATTTGAGGGAGGATATATTAGTATGGCCAAGCCATGCACCTGCATTATCCTCTAAATGTATTTTTAATGTATTATTATTTGTTTTCTCAGCAGTCATTAATTGTCACACTTTATTGATTGCTTGGTTTTTTTTTTCTTTGCCAGATTTGTAAAATTTCTATTCATGAGGTAAAACACATCATATTCTAAACTAACCATTGAAACTCACTAAAATTGAAAGGCAAAATCAGCCAAAAATGATAATGTGGTGTTTAGAATACTGTTGTATTACAAAGCCATTAATGTGTTTTTGTTTGTTTTGTTTTGTTTTTTCTTTGTATTTCAAGCTTCTCCCAAAAAGTCTTTTTCTTTTCTTTTTTTTTTTTTTTTTGAGGCGGAGTCTCACTCTGTCGCCCAGGCTGGAGGGCAGTGGGGCGATCTCCACTCTCTGCAAGCTCCGCCTACCAGGTTCACACCATTCTCCTGCCTCAGCCTGCCGAGTAGCTGGGACTACAGGTGCCTGCCACCATGCCCGGCTAATTTTTTATATTTCCAACAAGTCTTTTATTAGACCTTTTCTTTTTAATGAATCATTTTAACTAAAGATAAATTTTTCATTTTTCTGATTATGAAGTAAAAAGATTATTGCTAGTATTTAGGGAGCTGATATTTAAAATAGCTAAAGATATCAACTTTACTGTGTAGGCTTCTACTTAATCCCCATCTTTTCATTAAGGCATATTTCTTTACCTTCAATTACATGTTTTAGGGGGAGCCTTTCTATGCTACATTCTCTAGAAAGAATATAACTTCATGTCATCTGGCACAGTTGCCTTGTTGGGGCAGGATTAAAAATGGAATCTAGTGTTTAAATAACTGTTTTGTATGCAACCTATATAAATAATAATCATCTCAACACCCATAGAGTCATAACTACATGCCACTTGCTCAAGGACTCTGTGCTTATTAATTCCTTTAATTCTCTCAACAAACCCTTGCGTTAGGTAATCCTATTGAAAAAATTGAGGTAGAGATAGTCTAACCAACTTGCCCAAGGTAACACAGTTTTTGAAAACCTCAAGAAGTTTGGCCAATGAACTCAAACAAATTTACAAGAAAAAAACAAACAACCCCATCAAAAAGTGGGCAGACATGAACAGACACTTCTCAAAAGAAGACATTTATGCAGCCAAAAAACACATGAAAAAATGCTCACCATCACTGGCCATCAGAGAAATGCAAATCAAAACCACAATGAGATACCATCTCACACCAGTTAGAATGGCAATCATTAAAAAGTCAGGAAACAACAGGTGCCAGAGAGGATGTGGAGAAATAGGAACACTTTTACACTGTTGGTGGGACTGTAAACTAGTTCAACCATTGTGGAAGTCAGTATGGCGATTCCTCAGGGATCTAGAACTAGAAATACCATTTGACCCAGACATCCCATTACTGGGTATATACCCAAAGGACTATAAATCATGCTGCTATAAAGACACATGCACACGTATGTTTATTGCGGCATTATTCACAATAGCAAAGACTTGGAACCAACCCAAATGTCCAACAGTGATAGACTGGATTAAGAAAATGTGGCACATATACATCATGGAATACTATGCAGCCATAAAAAATGATGAATTCATGTCCTTTGTAGGGACATGGATGAAATTGGAAATCATCATTCTCAGTAAACTATCGCAAGAACAAAAAACCAAACACCGCATATTCTCACTCATAGGTGGGAATTGAACAATGAGAACACATGGACACAGGAAGGGGAACATCACACTCTGGGGACTGTTGTGGGGTTGGGGGAGGGGGGAGGGATAGCACTGGGAGATATACCTAATGCTAGATGACGAGTTAGTGGGTGCAGCACACCAGCATGGCACATGTATACATACGTAACTAACCTGCACAATGTGCACATGTACCCTAAAACTTAAAGTATAATAATAATAAATAAATAAATAAAAGAAGTTTGGCCCAAGATACTTCTCTTCACCATTACACTAAATTGTTACTCATGTTTTTTAAATACTCATTCTTGTTTAGGACAACCTGTATCCCTACTTTCAAAAGTAGATGGCACATGGAATCCTAAGCTGCAATTGCATATATCCTCAGGCTTCTTAATTTATTTTCCCCATGAATGGACTGATACTACTCTTGCTGGTTTACTTATGCAGTAACCAATCAGCCATCTCCTTGGTAGATTCCCAAAATGTGATGCTGTCACTTTTTTCATGTTCTTTGTTTTTATGTGTTTATTATGTTTTTACATGAAAGAATGGATATACTTTCTAAAATTACAATATTGTTAGACAATGTATTTTCTATCTAAATTGATATATCTCTCCAAGTCAATAAAATGCATTGTCTCTTTGTATGTCTACTGAATATAACAACAAAAATTGTTAACATGAGTAGCAAAGAAGTTAGGAAGAGTATTGCAATTAGGAAATCTGTTAGATACAGGGTCATTGAGTGTGATAAAGTATAAAACAAGTAGTTATCAATCATTAATTGTATTATTCCCTGCATTGTTTCCAAAATGCATGAAGGATTCTACAAACTAGAGATCTGCTTCTCTATGGTACTGTGTATTGTCTTGTCTAGCGTTGCAGGCTTGATGGCATCCTTTGCATTTTTAATCTGATAAAAAGTCTATTTCAGTGATAAAGTCAGCTTTAACTGGTTCTATCACAGAGCTTGCCCTTCTTGGCTGTATGATTCAGGGGTTTGTCTTGCTTTAGTAAAATCCGTCTGGCCTGGTGTCTGTAATACACACATCTGCAGAGGCAGTAGGTAATTAATGTTATTGATGGTGCTCATTTACATTGCATCTTTCCACCAAACTCCTTACCAAAGTAGAATGGGCTTTCACATGAGAACTCTTTAGAGATATCTTATAATATTTCTTTTCACAATTTGTTACCACTTACTTCCTCTAGAAAACATATTTTTCTCTTTTTACTAAAACAGATTCTAAGGTCACAATAGACATTGCTTTTATTCATAGTGAAAAAGGGTGATGAATGTTTTCTAGGAGAGCTTTCATGTCCCTGATGGTTAACTTTTTTAATTGCTCAATTTATCAGAGAATATAGTAAAGGTCTTTCAAGAAGGAATCAAATTGAATTAGGATGAATAAACCATTTTGGATGTTATGCAGTATCAATTTGCTATTGCTGGAGTATATTTTGAAAGTTTCTAAGAGTCTGCTTTGATTCTCAATTGGAAAACACCTTAAGCAGTTGATAAAACTTGTGTTTACCTAACACTGCAATAAAATGCAGGTGTGCTCATCTAAAGAGATCGAATTCACAATGAAATCTCATCTCATACAAGGTACAGAATTATTTGCATAGTATTAGTAACTCATTTATCCAATACCTATATTTTGATTGCTGAACACTACTTTCACACACTAAATCAAAGATCTTAATTTGTATCTTGTGGTTTCTTCAGTATGCTGCCTCAATGTTTTTATTCACTGCAAAACATTTTTTTCAAAAAAAAAGAAAATGTAATCATACACAAATATATATATTATGCAGCACTGCACTTTGTGCAGTCAAATAATAAAATTGTGCTGTTAGTGTCACCTATATTTCTGAGACTGCTCCTACATTTAAACTATATCATGAGATTTATGCTGCTTATTAGAATACATGTTTGTTCCAGAAATAACTAAACAGCACAGGCCTATTAATTCTGTAGGACAAAGTGACAATCATTGAAAATTGGTAACAATTGTCAAGACAATGTATGCCATTGTACAACAATATTAAGATACTTACAGTATTTCTCTATTATAATGCAAATTGTCATTGTTTGGAATTAATTTTTATGTGCATTTATAGACAAGATGTATTACAAAAACCCAAGCCATCTTTCCGTATATGAAAGAAGGAATAGAGTTAACACATGCTAAGTTATTTTAGTGCTTTATATTGTCTTTTATGGCTTCTTCTTAAATTATAATAAAATTGAATTTTTTAAAAAATGAGCAAATTTTTACACATTTATAATTGCTCTTAGTGATTTATCTTGAAATTAAATAAACTATACCTGTATATTTTATGATGATTCATTACTTTTTTATATTTCACATGACCTGGGAGAACTCCTGAGAGTCTTTGAAACATTTTGAGCTTATATTAAAAAATAGAACATCGAGTCAAGTGAGTAGAAAGGGAATGTGTTATAGATATGTGGAAAAACTGACAAATCAAAAGTTTATAGGTATTGAATAAGAGATTATCACTATAAGTTTGACAATCAGCTACTGAAAATTGCGAATTTATAAATTCAGCAAAGTGTTGGGATGTATAAGATAATGTAAAATGAGAGGAAGTAGTATAGACAAAGGAATTTATCAAGATCTGTTTCTGTTGATTAATAATTGGTAATTTTTAATCTCAATAATTATTAATCTGTGTAAACACATTCAGTTGAGTTCACCAAATATTTATTGACACTATTTTGTACCAGTTTCTAGGTGATGCTTACAACAGTTAAATAAAGTATCTATTCTTCAGGTACTTACTAATATGTAGGAGATGGAGAACGAGGTGGCTACAAGAAAACAACACATTGTATTAGAATAACAGAAAGCCTATCAACCCATCATCTAGGTTTTCAGCCCCGCATGCACATAGCACATGTATACCCATGTAACAAACCGGCACGTTCTGCTCATGTATCCCAGAACTTAAAGTAAAATAAAAAAAAAATTAAAAAGAATAACGGAAAGCCTGAGATTTAGGTACCATTTGAATCACAGAAGACAGAAGATAAGATATTGAAAGTAGACCAAATTCGTGGGTTGAAGACAGTAGACAAATTGGCATTTTCCCGTATTCATTCATGCAGTCATTATTGATCATCTATTTTTTCCAAGCTTCCTTGATGGGCTCTGCATATACAGTGGTGATTCAGATAAAGTCCCTGCTATCAAGGAGCAGACAGTGTAGATAATATAAAGGCACGTAAATAAGAACATGAAAAACAGTGAATTAAACTAGTTGGTATTATCTCTTATGAGATCATATTTATTTAGTAACAAAGGGCTCTTGAACTTTAAAATATGAGTATTTTTACAAACCTGTCAATCACTTTTAAAAATTGACAAATCTATACCTTTCCTTATTCTGCCAAGGTCACTTAAGCACTATACTCTACCCCAATGCCACCCATCTAAGATTGACAGGAAAGGTAAATACCATTCCTCTCTCATTCTGCATATTTTTTCTTTAGAAACACTTTATTTGAATGGTTCATTCCATTTGATTCCTTCTTATTTTCATTTCTCTTAGCAGATGAGCTCATTGTTCACCCTTCTATTATCAGCTTTTGGATATGACACAGTGCAGATTTTCCAGCTGGAATTTTTCTTCTCTTTTGAGCATACATTTAAAAATAAAATATTCAAAAGGGTTAAATCATGACTCCATTAAAAATATAAAATAAACATCTGCCTTAGTAGTTCAAATGTAATAATAAAGTACCATAAACAGGATGTCTTATGAACAACAGAAATTTATTTCTCAAAGTTTTGGAGGCTAGTTTCCTTCTATCTTCACATGGTGGGAAAAGAATGAGAGAGCTCTCTGGGGTCCCTTTTATAAGGGCACTAAACCCAGTCATGAGAGCTTCACTGTCATGACTTATCCCCAAACGGCCCACCTCCTAATACCACAATATTTAGGGCTAGGATTTCAACATATATAAGCATTCAGAGTATAAAAACGTGTCAAAAACCTTACCTAATCCATTAATTAATGAAGTGTCTAATCACATTTTTCAAAAAAAGTAAAATTGTGACTTTAATGTAAATCTAAAATGAATGTTACAGAAACTGTATTTAACTTTAATGATGTATGAGTAAGGAATTACGGCTCACTTGAAAAGCATTTGAAAAATTAGGATATTTATAGAGATACTTGCTGAATTGTGTCTAAAACTTATTATTGCCCTACATATTCATAAATAATGACTTTTTAGGAACATACTAAGTAAGTAAATAATGAATCAAACTAGGAACATTTCTTTAGGTAATATTTGGATGGACTTTACTCCTGTAATGAAATTACTAGATAGAAATACAATACAGCTATTTGCCTTAATTCTCAGTTTCAGATACATTTTCAAGCACATCAGAATTTCTCCTCACCTGTTTGAGCATCATGTAGAAAACACACTTCCCAGTGAAACCTAGCCAAGCACTTCAATTTAGAACCCTAGCCTCATCCATTCATTTTCATATTGATATCTGTAACAATTTTTGGTATTAATGGTATAAATCACCCCAGAAATCCAGCATCTTTACTGCAAAAATGATAATTTCAAATTTTGCTCTTGACGACTCTTTGAATATTTTTAATAGTTGGGCTCACCATCACATTTAAGAATAGTCATCCGGGCGAGGTGGCTCACGCCTGTAATCTCAGCACTTTGGGAGGCCGAAGCAGGCTGATCGTGTAAGGTCAAGAGTTCAAGACCAGCCTGGCCAACATGGCAAAACACTGTCTGTACTAAAAATACAAAAATTAGCTGGGCGTGGTGGCATTTACCTATAATCCCAGCTACTTGGGAGGCTGAGGCAGGAGAATCACTTGAACCCAGGAGGCAGAGGTTGCAGTGAGCCAAGTTCGTGCCACTGCACTACAGCCTGGTACAGCCTGGGTGACAGAGTGAGACTGTCTCAAAAAAAAAAAAAAAAGATAGAAAAACGAAAAAAGAAAAAAATAAAAGAAAGAATAGTCGGTGAAAAACAAAAAACTACTAGAAGAAATTTTAAAGTAGTAATTTTATGTCTTAATTTTATACATGTACATCAAAAAGGCAGCCTGTATTTCTGAATACCTGGTTAATAGCTCTGTAAAAGAGTCTCTATATGGCCCCCAAATAATGTGGGAGATAATGCATACTGACTTCTGAAAACAGCTTAATTTGACGTGCATCCTACATTTCAACTATAGGTCGTGTAAAGAAAACTATTATCAATGTTTGTTGGTTGGGTTTTCTGTTGTGGTTTTATTGTTGGGTTGACTGATGTTGATATTTTATCTCATCTTTGGACAGTGTCTGAATTTTATTCTGCCTCATATTATATATTCTTCAAAACCTGGAATGCCTCTTTGACTACATTAGTGATTTCAAAATAGACAATTCATCTTGTATTGAAAATCATCTCACATAAGTTATCCAGGCAAGAGGTAACTTGGTTTTGAGCAAATAACATGAATTCTGAGATTAGACAGAACAGCATTTCCATCCCCACTTGTCACCCTTACATTGTTTCGTCTGTAACTTGTTATTAAATAAATCTGAACAACTGAATTTCAATAACTGCTCTGAAAAAATAAAGGATATTTTGAAATACTATTTATACTACCACTAAACACATTGTCTGGCATGTAACAGAATCACAATAATTTATTTTTTATTTCTTCCATTAACTTATCTTCTTGTTTTCGCAACCTTAATTTCTCTCTTGAAATTAAGCCATGCTGCTTTTTTGCAAGAAGATACTAGACCATCATATGTGGCGTGGAGACATGACCAGTAGACCTCATTTCTCTGGCATAGAATGTTTTCCATACTTGACTATGCCAGATTTTTGCCCCCTTTTAATATTAGAAGATTGAGACCAATGTCCCTACTCTAATTTTAGAAATACATCTTTCTTTGAACATCATAGGCACTTTCATTTGGGAATGATTAGGTATTTCACTACTCAATTTTTAATGAATGTAATGAATGTTTTACAAATAACTATGTGCCACCCATAATTCCAAGCTATGGGCATATAGGAGTGATTAAGTAAGGCTGTATTTAAGAAAAGGGGAAATCAATATACAAAAACAGGTAATACAGCAGATATTAGCAAGTGCTATAAATTAGAAGGGCAATAGCTTGAAGAAAATCAAGAATGCAAGTGTAGATATAATAGAATGGTTTAAGAGGAGTAAATTTAAAAAAGAATCAAAAAAGTTAGAAGAGGACCAGATCATATATGTATCTTATAGTCAGTGAAAAGGTATGTGAAAAATGGTTGCACACTGAATACATTGGAGCTCTTTCTTGATAGAGTGTGAATGTTTCTTGGTAGTTTGTTTGTATATAGAGAAAGAAAGTACCATTGTAAGATGTTGACTTGAAAAGCGTAAGAGATATATTCTATTTACTGTATTGGAAAAATTAAGACGAGCAGATTTAAAGGGAGAACAGTTCAATTTCCCACGGATTAGGTAAGTTGTGTCTACTAGAAGTCAAGTAAGTTACTGAACATACAAACCTGAATCTAAGATTTAGTGTAAAAAAATTGGAAATTTTTAACTATAGGAGATACTTAAACCATGAAGCAAAATAAAATCTTCAGCCAGTGAGTACAGAGAAGAAGAAATGAAGAGAAGAGGAGTGTGTGTATTTATGAGTGTGTGTGTTTGTGTGTGTGTGTGTGTGTGTGTGTCTGTTCCAGGGCAAAAAGTAATGTGTTGTAGGATTAGAATTTACATGATTCCTACTTAGTGTAAAAATAAAAATGAAGGTGGTTCACATAAACTAAGTACAGATAGAAGTTCAAATATTTATAAGGTGATGTATATTAATGGTTCTCAGGTAATGTGTCAATCATTTACAGATTTTTAAAAATTATTATTTTAAACATGTTGAGGAACTGCCTGAAATTTATAAAATTAAGCACCCCCAATAAGTTATTTTATTAAATATTTTCTATAAAATTTTTAAATAAAGCAAAATTTTGCATAATAAAATATTTCCCCAACTTTATTTTAAATTTTGCATAATGGTCACTGATGAGCTTTTAGATTAGAAGAACAAATTGTTTATATTTCTTTAAGAATAAGTTTTATGCTCATTAATGAACTCAATTACATTTCTGCTTTCTAATTTACTCATTCTAAAATTTGTCTTTATTGAACTGCTTTCCTTTGTAGTGAATTGTCATATCTTTCTTTTTTTGTATTTGAGTAACGTGAATAATACTTATTGTAAAATTAAAAATAGTGCAGGTAAAGTCATTCTCTTCTATGCATGCTATCCTCATTCTTAGTCTCATGTATTAAGTTGTTTACATAAATGTTCAATTTATCTCATCTTTCTTATTTATTAACAGCATTAATTATATGATCTTTAATGTAAGCTATTCTTTAACAAAATTTTAAGACTTTAGAAAAATGTTGTTTTCATCTTTAATATTTTGAAGCTAACCCAACATTCTTTAACAGAATATGCTTATGTGACTTTTACAAATAGTTTAAGATGCTGCATATTTGTGTTTTTATCTTAGTTTTTATGCTTTAATGTAAATTCATATTTAAAGTTATATTTATTGTATTAACATAAAGTTAAATTTAACTTATTTCCAGATTTGTTAAGGATTTTGTGGCTTAATATGTCAATTTTTTATTTTTATTTGTTTATTTATTTATTTTATTTTGAGATAGAGCATTTATTTTGCTCTATCACTCAGGCTGGAGTGCAGTGGCATGACCTTGGCCCACTGCAACCTCCTCCTCCCGGGCTCAAGTGATCCTCCCATCTCAGCCTTGCAAGTAGCTGGGATTCCAGATGCACGTCACTATATCAGGGAAATTTTTTTGCATTTTTAGTACAGATGGGGTATCGCCATGTTGCTCAGACAGGTCTTCAATTACTGAGCTCAAGCAATCCACCCATATTGGACTCCCAAAGTGCTAGGATTACAGGTGTAAGCCACCACTCCTGGCCCTAATGTATAAACATTTTTAAGTGTTCTATTAACATTTTAAAAGTAGGCATATTCTCAAATTTAAAGGTATAAAAATATCTTGCTTTATAAAGCCAGAAAATCTTTTAACTAGAAACTAAAATAAGTTTATACATTAGAAAATAGATGCAGCTACATCAAGATATGATATAAAAATACTATATGTAACAGCAAAAATATTAATATAACACATATATAATATATAATAATACATATAATATATAATATAATATATAATAATACATAATGTAATATATAATACATATATACAGATAGATGATAGACAGATGATAGATAGATGGCATTTTAAATAGGTAAACCTTATTTTATATTTCCAAAGAATGTAGAGCTCTTTCAACAAAAATGAATTAAATAATTTTTAGTATGTTTTTCAAAGTATGTTGGTCAAAAGAAGACAGAAAATATACAAAATAAGCACCAAAGATAATTTTAAAAATGACTCAAATTCAACATTTTTAGACATAGAAATATACTTCAAAATACTTATAGATAAATAAAAATCAAAGTTGAAGTATCCTATCCTGAGGGAAAACAGAAAAAATAAAAACAGGGAAACAAACAAACAATAAATATACATATATGAATGAGGTGATATATATATATATAGAGAGAGAGAGAGCAAGGCAGACTTTAGCACTAGCATATTAATCATTACACTAAATACAACTACTCTAAATATACCAACTAAAGCGAGGATATTATCAGAGTATATTAGTGGGACCACCATAGGCTGTTCACAAGAAATTTGCTTCAAATATCTTATAAATATGTTGAAAGTCAAGGGATGAAAAGAGAAGTGTCTAGTAAACATTAATCATAAGAAATCAAGGGTTATTTTATTACTATTTGATAAAGTAGACTTCAGAGCAAAGAAACTTACCAGGAAGAGGGAGCAATATGAAATAATTATAGGATCAATAAACCAAGATGGTGTAGCAATTCTAAATGTGTATGCACCAAACACTAGAGCTACTAACATATGTGAAGCAAAACACTCAACAGAATATAATTGACATCTATTGGGCACCATATCCAAAAAAGCATAATATACATTTTTCAAGATATTATGAAATATATGCCATGCCAAATATATACTACATTCTGGACCTTTACACAGGACTCAACAATTTTAAAATAATTAAAATCAGTCATTGAGTTCTGATTGTATTATTATATTAAAACAAAAGTTACTGTAAAATAGTATATAGATTTTGGGGGGGGGGGGTTGTTGAGGTTTTTCCCTGCAGATTCAAAATAAAATGTAAACATTAATTTTCTGTATATTGATGCATAAATGTACTGTGCCAAAATGACCATACATATATATATATATATAAAATTTCCTTTTTAAATAAATAATACAATGAATACTAACATTTAAAAAAGAGATAAACCATAAAGTAAGACAGAGACCACGGACTGAAGACCATAGATTAAAACCAGATTTCTCTCAATGCACTTTGTTGTATAGATTTAGAGTGAGGCGATGATACATTACATAAATGTAGATTTAAACAAAATTTAAAAATCAGTCTTTTAAAATGGGAAACAAAATTGAATAAATTGATCTTTTGTAACTCTTGTTAGTAGAGTAATCACAGAAAGAACTTGACAGAATAAAACTATTGAGGTATGTGCTAAGTCCAAAAACAATTTTAAAAAACTGTTAAACTTTATTCTGTAATCATGTAATTCAAAAGAAATTAAAATGGCTAAATTTCCACTTTAATTTTGGGGCTCTATCAGCCCTAAACTCCATTCTCTAATACCTTAAACTAGTATAGCAATGATTGTAAATTGTAAAGGAGGTCATGAAAGGAAAATAGGGGCTGGAAGCTGAAATAACTGAGCAGGCACATCAATAGTCACCAATTAGGAGATCAATTTTGCAGTTTGTACTAGATTACCTTACTAAAACAAAACAAAACAAACAAACACCTGAACATTTAAAAGCCATTAAGTCACATTAACCCCTAAGTCCAGTTTTCAAATAAAATTCATTGTACATGAGTACAAACAGAAAATGTGACCACAATCAGGAAAAAAAAGAAAAGGGGGCAACAAAATAGAAGCTGACTTCATGTACTTATTATGTCAGACAAATAAACTAGCTATTGTGACTATATTTAAATAACTAGAAATATTTTCAAAGCATTAAAGGAAAATCTGGTCTTAATGAGTAAGTGGACAGAAAAAAAGACAAAAAGACATAGAAACTATAAAAAATAACCAAATGAAAATTCCAAAACTAAAATATACAATAATTATCTTTTTAAAAAATTCACTATATTGACAAAAGCAGATTGCTGATAACAGAAGAAAAAGTCAGGGAATTTGTTAATTGCTTAAGATGAACATTTATCTTGAATAATATAAAGAAAATGTTTGAAGAAAAATAAACAGAGCCTGAGAGACGTGAGAGAAAAAATTAAGTTGTCAAACACATAATTTGTCTCAGATAAATCCAAGAGCAAAAATGAGCTGAGAGACAGAAAATTTATTTTCATAAATAATGGCCTAAAACATTTAAATAAGATGATTAGCATTAGCTTGTAGTAATCCAAATAATCAAAAATTATTAAATAAAATATAACTGAGCTTATTATAGTAACACTTCTGAAAGTCAAGGATGAAAAGAAAATCAAGAAGACACCAAAGAAAAATATGTGCTCTTGTAAAATGTCTATATTTTAACAATACTAACTTTAAGTAAATTGTAATGATGAAGTGAATATTTTAATCAATATTAACAATTTAAAAATAATGCCAATTGTAACTGGAAAGCAAATTTAAGCATTGATATGGAATATTAAACATATTTAACAGAAAAGAAGACGAATATAGAAATTTAAAAAAAGAACCACTACAACAAATACAATTAGATGAGAGAATTATAAAACAGAGAGCAGAAAAAAAAAAACAGCTAAATTTAATCATACTATATTTACATTAAATTTAAATAGGGCCTTTCAATAAAAATAAGAAATTATTGGAATTGATAGAAAAACAAAATCCAATTTTATGTTGTCTACAAGAGAAACGTTCTAATGAAAATACATGAATAAATTAATATTAAGCAATTAATATTAAAAGATATTTTGTACAAAATAAAAATATTAATAACATTTATCCATTATTAATAAGATTTACTTTGATAAATATTCAGCAAATGTGCTAAAGAAAATTGAATAAAAAGAAAAATAAAATAATATAATTTTTGATATCTATGACCCAGAGACAAGTAATTTACATAATATAGAAGAGCTCTTTAAGAGAAATAGGGGAAGAAGCCACAATTGTATGTGTGAAATACAAAAAGAAATTTTTCAATCAATAAGAAACATTAATGAATTTTAAGACATTAAAAGCTGTTCATCTGTATCTGTTAATAAGAAATGTATATTAGCATCAGAGAGACATAATTTTATCAATTTTCAACTTGAAAAATATCAATAAGTTAGATGCTAGGGTGAAGAAAACAACATTCCTCTTTAATACTTGGACTGAGAGTAAAGCCAGGGTGAGAGATATGGAACAAGTGATTTTACACTAAGCTTTCTGAAGTGGCCAATTAAAGTGTGGCTGGGAGGAAAAGGAACCTTGCCAATATCATAATTTCCGATGCCTATGAGATAAAAAGAACTAATTGTACAAGACGAACAAAATTGTATTAATCAATATAAGACAGAAAATTATTTCCACTATTCCACACACTAAACCCCACGAAATGTAATAAATAACAACAATTATAACATTTTTTCTAAACAATAGTTTATTTTAATCATATTTATTTATTTATTTTTATTATACTTTAAGTTCTGGGATACATGTGCAGAACGTGCAGGTTTGTTACATAGGTATACATGTGCATTGGTGGTTTGCTGCACCCATCAACCCATCATCTACATTAGGTATTTCTCCTAATGCTATCCCTCCTTTGCCCCCCCAACCCCTGACATGCCCTGGTATTTGATGCTCCCCACCCTGTGCCCATATGTTGTAATTGTTCAACTACCACTTATGAGTGAGAACATGCAGCGTTTGGTTTTCTGTTCCTGTGTTACTTTGCTGTTCCCGTGCTGGTTTGCTGAGAATGATGGTTACCAGTTCATCCACGTCCCTGCAAAGGACATGAACTCATTCTTTTTTTATGGCTGCATAGTATTCCATGGTGTATATGTGCCACATTTTCTTTATCCATTCTATCATTGATGGGAATTTCAGTTGGTTCCAAGACTTTGCTATTGTGAATAGTGCTGCAATAAACATATGTGTGCATGTGTTATTATAGTAAAATGATTTATAATTCTTTGCATATATACACAGTAATGGGATTGCTGGGTCAAATAGTATTTCTAGTTCTAGATCCTTGAGGAATTGCCACACTGTCTTCCCCAATGGTTGAACTAATTCACACCCCACCAACAGTGTATAATCATTCCTATTTTTCCACATCCTCTCCAGCATCTGTTGTTCCTGACTTTTTAATTATCGCCATTCTAGTGGCGTGAGATGGTATCTCATTGTGGTTTTGATTTGCGTTTCTCTAATTACCAGTGATGATAAGCTTTTTTCATGTTTTCTGGCTACATAAATGTCTTTTGAAAAGGGCCTGTTCATATCCTTTGCCCACTTTTTAATAGGGTTGTTTGCTTTTTCTTGTAAATTTGTTTAAATTCTTAGTAGATTCTGGATATTAGCCCTTTGTCAGATGGATAGATTGCAAACATTTTCTGTGATTCTGTAGGTTGTCTGTTCATGCTGATGAATGTTTTGCTGTGCAGAAGCTCTTTAGTATTATTAGATCCCATTTATCAATTTTGGCTTTTGTTGTCCTTGCTTTGGGTGTTTTAGTCATAAAGCCTTTCCTCATGCCTATGTCCTGAATGGTATTGCTTAGATTTTCTTCTCAGGTTTTTGTGGGTTTAGGTTATACCTTTAAGTCTTAATCTATCTTGAGTTAATGTTTGTATGAGGTATAAGGAAGTGATCCAGTTTCAGTTTTCTGCATATGGCTAGCCAGTTTTCCCAACACAATTTATTAAATAACGAATCCTTTCCCTATTGCTTGTTTTTGTCAGGTTTGTCAAAGATCAGATGGTTGTAGATGTGTGGTGTTTTTTTCTGAGGCCTCTGTTTTGTTCCATTGGTCTATATATCTGTTTTGGCACAAGTATCATGCTGTTTTTGTTACTGTAGCCTTGCAGTATAGTTTGAAGTCAGGTAGTGTGATGCCTCCAGCTTTATTCTTTTGCTTAGTATTGTTCTTGGCTCTTTTTTAGTTCCATATGAAGTTTAAAGTAGTTTTTTCTATTTCTGTGAAGAAAGTCAATGTTATCTTGATGGGAATAACACTGAATCTATAAATTACTTTGGGCACTAAGGCCATTTTCACAATATTGATTGTTCCTATCCATGAGTATGGAATGTTTTTCCCTTTATTTGTGTCCTCTCTTATTTCCTTGAGCAGTGGTTTGTAGTACTCCTTAAAGAGGTCCTTCACATCCCTTGTAAGTTGTATTCCTAGGTATTTTATTCTCTGTGTAGCAATTGTGAATGGGAGTTCACTCATGATTAGGCTTTCTGTTTGTCTATTATTGCTGTGTAGGAATGCTTGTGATTTTTGCACATTGATTTTGTATCCTGAGATTTTGCTGAAGTTGCTTATCATCCTAAGTAGTTTTGGGGCTGAGATGATGAGGTTTTCTAAATATACAATCATGTCATCTGCAAACAGAGATAATTTGACTTCCTCTCTTCATATTTGAATACGCTTTATTTCTTTCTCTTGCCTGATTGCCCCAGCCAGAACTTCCAATACTATGTTGAATAGGAAGTGGTGACAGAGAGTATCCTTGTCTTATGCTGGTTTTCAAAGGGAATGCTTCCAGCTTTTGCCTATTCATTCTGATATTGGCTGTGGGTTTGTCATGAATAGCTTTTATAATTTTGAGATAAGTTCCATCAATACCTAGTTTATTGAGTGTTTTTAGCATGAAAGTATGTTGAATTTTACTGAATACCTTTTCTGCATCTATTGAGATAATCATGTGGTTTTTGTCACCGGTTCGGGTTATGTGATGGATTACGTTTATTGATTTGTGTATGTTGAAGCAGCCTTGCATCCCAGAGATGAAGCTGATGTGATTGTGGTGGATAAGCTTTTTAGTGGGCTGCTGGATTCAGTTTGCCAGTATTTTATTGAGGATTTTCACATTGATGTTCATTAGGGATAGTAGCCTGAAATTTTCTATTTTTATTGTGTCTCTGCCATGTTTTGGTATCAGGATGATGCTGGCCTCATAAAATGAGTTAGAGAGGAGCCCCTCTTTTTCTTTTGTTTGAAATAGTTTCAGAAGGAATGGTACCAGCTCCTTTTTGGACCTCTGGTGGAATTTGGCTGTGAATCCGCCTGGTCCTGGAGTTTTTTTGGTTGGTGGGCCATTAATTACTGCCTCAATTTCAGAGCTTGTTATTGGTCTATTCAGGAATTCGACTTCTTCCTGGTTTAGTCTTGGGAGGGTGTATGTGTCCATTAGTTTATCCATTTCTTCTAGATTTTCTAGTTTATTTGTGTAGAGGTGTTTATAATATTCTCTGATGGTAGTTTGTATTTCTGTGGGATCAGTGGCGATCTCTTTTTTCTCATTTTTTATTGTGTCTATTTGATGTTTCTCTCTTTTCTTCTTTATTAGATTTTAGATATTTCCCACTTTTTCCTGTGGGCATTTTGTGCTATAAATTTCCCTCTAGACACTACTTTAGATGTGTCCCACAGATTCTAGTACATTGTGTCTCTGTTCTCATTGGTTTCAAATAACTTATTTATTTCTGCTTTAATTTTGTCATTTACCCAGTAGTTATTCAGGATCACGTTGTTCAGTTTACATGCCGTTGTGTGGTTTTGTGTGAGTTTCTTAATACTGAGTTTTAATTTCATTGCACTGTTGTCTGAGAGATTGTTATGATTTTCATTCTTTTGCATTTCCTGAGGAGTGTTTTACTTTAAATTACACGCAGATTCATAAAGCAAGTTCTTAGAGACCTACAAAGAGATTTAGACTCCCACACAATAATAGTGGGAGACTTTAACACCCCACTGTCAATATTATTAACAAAATAATATTGTCAAAATAATTATTGTCAAAAAATTAACAAGAATATTCAGAACTGAACTCGGCTCTGGACCAAGCAGGTCTAATAGACTTCTATAGAACTCTTCATCCCAAATCAACAGAATATACAGTCTTGCATCACATAGCACTTATTCTAAAATCAACCTCATAATTATAACATTTTTATAATACATAAAAATGTATTTCATCTAGATAAAATAATGTTGGTTTTTAGAGTGACCTCATGAAAGCAAGTAGACGTCAGTTCTGGGCCACCATAATTTCTTACAGGGCTCAAAAATGACCAAAATAAATGCATTGAAAGAAGAGTTTTTTTTGTTGTTGTTCCAGTTACATGTATACTGTCTTTCAAATTTAGTAAGTATAAGAGGTGGATACATTTACCTGACTGGCTTTATCCAAGATTTCTTAATTTCTTTGTGACTATATATGATTTTTTCCTGTTTTCATTTACGCTGGAAAATATGGTGTCAGGCAAAATTTTAGGAAATTGTTATTCATCCCATAATTAGTTGCAGCATTTTAGACGTGGATAAAAATTCCCTTTGGACGAGGTATGCTTTCTTACTTATGACAGGGAGAAAATAGGCTAAGAAAATGGTAGGATATTACACAGTCTGTTGAAAGACCCTAAAGATACTAGTTGAAGTGCAGCAGCCCTAGGGAGACTATAACTGGTATTGCACTAAAGAAAGTAAACAGTACTGAAGATAATGACTTCATTATTGTAATTTATGTATTATATGCAATTACATAACATTTATAAATATATAAATTTATTGTTCCACCTAGGTATTAAACATATAAGGTAAGTTAAACTCTTGAATCTCCCATAGTATTTGGCTCTTCATAATTCCTAAATAGATGTAAATTAATTAATTGGAATATTGATTATCATGTACTCTTTAAAAAGTTGTCCTTGTTTTAGTTTTCTGTTATTTTGTCCTTGTTTTTTTTTATTTTTATAAAGTATTTTGGGTACCTAGTGGATTTATATAGTCATGTGTTACGTCAGATGTTTTGATAAAGATATGAAATGTGAAATAATCACATCATGGAGAAAGGGGTATCTTTGCCCTCAAGCATTTATCTTTTGAGTTAGAAACAATCCATTTACATTTTTTAAGTTACTTTAAAATACACAATTAAGTTATTATTGATTGTAGTTACTCTATTGAGCTATCAAATAGTAGGTTTTATTCATTTTTCAACTCTTTTGGTACCCATTAATGATCCCTGTCTGTCCCCCAACACCCCACAACACTTCCCAAACTCTAGTAACCATCCTTCTAATCTCTATGTCCCTGAGTTCAATTGATTTGATTTTTAGATTCCACAAATAAGTGAGAACATAGATTCTTTGCCTTTCTGTGCATTTCTTATTTCACTTAACATAATGATTTCCAGTTCTATCCATGTTGCTGCAAACGACTGGATTTCATTCTTTTTTATGGCTTAACAGTACTCCAAATGTGTATCACATTTTCTTTATCCATTCATCTGTTGGTGGACACTTAGGTTGTTTCCAAATCTTAGCTATTGTTAACACTGGTGCAGCAAATATAGGAAGGCAGATATCTCTTCAATATACGAATTTCCTTTCTTTTAGGTATATACACAGCACTGGGATTGCCAGATCATATGGTAGATCAAGTTTTAGTTTTCTGAGGACCCTCCAAACTGTTCTCCATAGTGGTTGTATTACTTTACATTTGCATCAACAGAATACGAGTGTTCCCTTTTCTCCACATCATCACCAACATTTGTTATTGCCTGTCTTTGAATATAAGCCATTTTAACTGGGGTGAGATGATATCTCACTGTAGTTTTGATTTGCATTTCCCTGATGATCAATGTTGAACATCTTTTAATATAGCTGTTTACCATTTGTATGTCTTCTTTTTAGGAATGTCTATTCAAATATTTTCCCCATTTTGGCCGGGCACGGTGGCTCACGCCTGTAATCCCAGCACTTTGGGAGGCTGAGGTGGGCGGATCACAAGGTCAGGAGATAGAGACCATCCTGGCAAACATGGTGAAACCCCGTCTCTACTAAAAATACAAAAAATTAGCGGGGCGTGGTGGCGGGTGCCTGTAGTCCCAGCTACTCGGGAGGCTGAGGCAGGAGAATGGCATGAACCCAGGAGGCGGAACTTGCAGTGAGCCGAGATGGCGCCACTGCAGTCCAGCCTGGGCGACAGAGCAACACTCCATCTCAAAAATATATATATATATATTTTCCCCATTTTTAAAATCAGATTATTATATTCTTTCCTATAGAGTGGTTTGATCTTCTTATATATTCTGGTCATTAATCCCTTGTCATAAGGGAAGTTTGTAAATATTTTCCCCCATTCTGTGAGTTGTCTCTTTACTTTGTTGATTGTGTCCTTTGCTATGCAGAAGCTTTGTAACTTTATTAAATCCCTTTTGTCCATTTTTGCTTTGGTTGCCTGAGTTTGCGGAGTGTTGCTCAAGTAATTTTTGTCCAGACCAATGTCCTGGAGATTTTCCCCAATGTTTTATTGTAGTAGTTAAATAGTTTGATGTCCTAAATTTCAGTCTTTAATCCATTTCCATTTGATTTTGTGTATGGCAAGAGACAGGGCTCTAGTTTCATTCTTTGGCATGCAGATATCCAGTTTTCCCAGCACCATTTAAGGAAGACATTTACTGAATAGACTATCTTTTCTCAATTGTATGTTCTTGGCAACTTTTTAAAAAATGAACTTACTGTAGGTGTTCAGATTTGCTTCTGGAGTCTCTATTCTGTTCCATTAGTCTATGTGGCTGTTTTTATGCCAGCATCATGCTGGTTTGTTTAGTATAACTCTGTAGTATAATTTGAAGTTGGGTAATGTGAGTCACCCAGCTTTTTTTTTTTTCTTTTTTTTCTTTTTTTTTTTTTTGCTTAGAATAGCTTTGGCTATTCTGAGTCTTTGGTGGTGCCATGCAAATTTTATTTTATTTTTTCTATTTCTGTGAGGAAGGTCTTTGGCATTTTTATAAAGATTGCATTGAATCTGTATATTTCTTTGGGGAGTATGGACATTAAAAAAATATTGATTATTACAATACATGAGCACAAAATATTCTCTAATTTTTGGTGTCTTCCTCAATTTTCTTCATCAGTGTTTTATAGTTTTAATTTTGGAGATATTTAACTTCTTTGATTAAATTAATTTCTATGTATTTAATTTTATCTGAGGCTATTGTAAATGGGTTTTTTAAATATTGTACAGTGTTGGCATATGGAAATGCTACTTACTTTTGTATGTTGATTTGTATCCTGAAACTTTATTGAATTTGTTTATCAGTTCTAACAGTTTCCTTGTGGAGTCTTTAGTTTTTCTCCAAATATAAAACTATATCATCAGCAAACAAGAATAATTTGACTTTTCTTTCCTATTTAGATGCCCTTTATAACATTCTCTTGTCTTATTGCTCTAGCTAGGACTTCCAGTACTATACTGAATAACAGTGGTAACAGTGGGCATCCTTTTTATGTTCCAGATATTAGAAGAGAAAAGGCTTTCAATTTTTCCCTATTCATTATGATACTAGCTGTGAGTCAGTTATATATTAATTTTATTATGTCGAGATATATTCTTTTTATACCCTGTTTTTTGTAAGTTTCTATCATGAAGGTATGTTTAATTTTATCAAATGCTTTTACAGCATCAATTGAAATGATCATGTGGTTTTATTCTTCATTCTGTTGATGTATCATGTTGATTGGTTTTCATATATTAAACCATCTTTGCATCCAGTGATAAATCCCACTTGGTCATGACGAATAATCTTTCCAATATATTGGTGAATTTGGTTTGCTAGTATTTTGTTGAGGGTTTTTGCATCAATATTCACCTGAGATATTGGCCTGTAGTTTTATTTTTTAATGTGTCTTTCTCTGGTTTGGTAATTATAGTAATGCTGCCATCACAGAATACATTTGAAAGTATTCCCTCTTCTGTTTTTCTGAAAAGTTTAAGTAAGATTGCTATTAGTTCTTCTTAAAATGTTTGGTAGAAATCAGCAATGAAGCCATCCAGGTCCTGGGATTTTCTTTACTGGGAGACTTTTAATTATGCCTTCAAATACTTGTTATTAGTCTGTTCAGGTTTGGATTTCTTTCAGGTTCAATTTTGGGAGGTCAAATGTATCTATGAATATGTCCATTTCTTCTAGATTTTCTCATATTTCCCTGAGCATAGCTGCTCAGAGTCGCCATGAATAATCTTTGAATATCTTCAGTATAAGCTGATAAGTCTCCTTTTTCATTTCTGATTTTATTTATTTGGATATCCTCTTTTATTTTCATAGTAAATCTGGTTAAAGATTTGTCACTGTTGTTTAACTTTTCAAAAAGCAAACTTTTGTTTCATTGATAGTTTGCATTTTTTCATTTCAATTTCATTTATTTCTGCTCTGATCTTTATGATTTCTTTTGTTTCGACTAATGTTGGGTTTGGTTTACTCTTGCTTTCTAACTCATTAGCATGCATTGTTAGATTAATCATTTGAAGATTTTTTTCTCTTTTTCAATATAGGCACTTATAGCTATATGCTTCCCTGTGAGTACCGCTTTTGTTGTATCCAACAGGTTTTGGTGTGTTGTGTTTCCATTATTGTTTGTTTAAAGAAATGTTTCAATTTCCTTCTAAATTTCTCCCGTGACTCACTAGTCATTCAGTAGCATACTGTTTAATTTTCAAGTATTTGTATAGAGCCTAAAATTCCTCCTGTTATTGATTCCCAGTTTTATTCCACTGTGGTCAGAGAAGATGCTTGATATTTTTTCTGTTTTTTTTTTTAATCTTTAAGACTTGTTTTGTGACTTAACATATGATTTATTCTTGAGAATGATCTGTATGCTGAGGAAGAGAATGTATTCTGCAGACCTTGGATGAAATATTATGTAAACATCTATTACATCCATTTAGCCTCTAGGGCAGACTAAGTCTGATGTTTCTTTGTTAATTTTCTGTCTAGAAGATCTGCCCAATGCTGAAAGTGGGTGTTGAAGTCTCCAGCTATTATTGCATTGGGGCATATTGCTCTCTTTAGCTCTAATAATATATTTTTTAAATATCTGGGTGCTCCAGTGTTGGGTGCATATATATTTAAAATTGCTATATTGTCTTTCTTAATTGACTCCTTTATCATTATGCTAGTGACTTTCTTTTGTTCTTCTTATAATTTTGGAATTGAAATATATTTTTTCTGATATAACTATAGTTACTCATGCTTTTTTTTTTTTTTTGGTTTCCCCTGGAATGGAATGTTTCATCCCTTTATTTTCAGTCTGTGTGTGTCTCTATAGGTGAAGTGTGTTTCATGTAGGCAACAGATCAATGTGTCATGGGATTCTTAGGGTGTTGCTTCACCAGCCAGAAACCTCTGTGGCTGTTGGGTCCTCTTCTTGGATTTTGTTTGTTCCCACTGGGCTCTTTTCATCTACTCAGCCCAGCAGGCTGTGTTTGGTTTGCACTACAGACCCAGATCCCACGCTTGCCAAGGGTGAGCCAGGCATAGAGCGGCAAGAGGTGTGTGAATCAGCAAGCATGGGATCCAGCCACAGGTCACAGGCACATGCACTGACTGCAGTGGAGTGGGCAGTTACAGGTGCAAGCACAGGGCTAGCTCCATGTGAGGATGAAGCTGGACCAGACATACTGCAAGTGGCTTCTGCTGCAGGCACCAGCATGTGGACAAGGGAAACACAATTGCACCCTAAAGTTTGGAGATGCCAGGAATGACAAAACCCCAAGAAGGATGGTACAACATATCACAGCCCTGGATTGGGGAACTCCAAGGTCAAGGCTCCCAGAAGGGCCACAGCTTTTCTCTTCTTCTCATCACCTGCAATGTGGTGAGTAGAAGGTGTGTTTCAGCTCTGTTTGTGTTACAGCTCTTTCAAGCCCACCATCCTTGTCCCACGTCCAGGAAGAATAAGGTATGCAGACAACTGGAGGGTGAGCAAGGTGGAGAGGAAATGCATTCAGCAAGAGGAAAGCTTTCAGGAGACCCCAAGTTTGCAGCTACTTTCTGCAGGTGTGTTTTCCTGATAAGTGTCCTGCTCTCAGCAGAGGAGAGACCTATAGTTGGTAGCTCCTTTATGCAGTCACTCCTGATGACTGAGTGAGTCTGGCTGATTCTGAGGTTTTTATGTGCTCAGAGTGGAGGAAGTGCATCCTGATTAGTCCATTGGCAGCCATGGGTGGGCCTGAAGAAAGCACCATCTGTTTGGCCAAATGGTCATCAGTGAAGTTCTCACTCTGGGACACAGACATTGCCCAGAACTGGCTGCCAGGTCCCCATGCTTCAGGCCATCACTGGCCTAAAGGGGATTCACTGGGGACACACCCTTTCCTGCCTAGGAACCTTTAATATGCCATTCACAGTACCCAGACTATCCACAAGGAGCCACCCTCAGCCCCCCAACTCTCCTCCCATGCTTGTTGGTGCCTAAAGGCCAGAGGAGGCTGATGTGGCGGGGGGCTAATGTGTCAGCATCACTCTGAGCATGTGCATACCCAGCCAGGTTGCAGCAGACCCCAGGCTCTACCACAACTTTGCTCTGTCCCAGAACAGGCACTGGGAGCAGGGAGAGGTCAGGGAATGGGATCAGGTACTTTCAAGCCTGTGGGGGGATGGAACTGTTGCCCCTTCTTTTAAAGATTACAATTATTTTCAGTTTTGTACTTTTGAGTATATAGAATATAAGGCAATTTATATGCAGATGGTTTTACTGTTATTATTTTTAATCACCTTGATTTTTTGCTCTAATATTTTTACTCTGTTTGCATTATCTAACAATCATAAGAATTTTAAACAATTATCTGTTCACTTTTGAAGCCTATTTTCACAAAAATTGTTAATAAAACAATGATTTACTGAATAGATACTATGTAACTGAATAAAAATGGAAACATCTCTAATGAGCTAACACACACATTTTGAAGGAATAAACATTTTTGATAACTAAAGGAAAACAAATTGAAGAATAAATAATAGAAATTCTGAACTCAAGACCAATTGATGTGAGGAAT
Source organism: Homo sapiens (assembly GCF_000001405.40). Classification (NCBI taxonomy): domain Eukaryota; kingdom Metazoa; phylum Chordata; class Mammalia; order Primates; family Hominidae; genus Homo; species Homo sapiens. Next base: position 163,072,664 of record NC_000003.12, on the reverse strand, counting down.
CAATATGAGGATTATTTCTTATAAGATTGCACAGAAAAGTCAGGTTTTAATTCTTGGTAAATGATAGTGGTAGGAATTCATATTAAGAAAATATTTGGTGATGTTTCCAGATCATCATTTTTTTTTGTTTATTTTGTTTTGTTTTGTTGGTTTTACTTTGTCTCAGTTTGTTGTTATTCTGCAAACTGCAGAATAAGATTATTTTCTCAATTCTATCTTTATTCCATTATGGCTACATTTGTTCCACAGGAATTCCTGAAGTTATAATTGCACTAAAAAGAACAATGATTTTCTTTGGCTCGTATTCCTAATAGTGTATGTTAAAGATTTTTAAAATCATACTCTGTATGTAAGATTATAAATTTTCTATACGTTTATAAATTTTGATAATTTATAGCTATGAATTGTAAATATCTTAATTTCATAAGTGATTTACTAAAACAATCAACAAATTATAAAACATTGAATATGCAATTTCTAGAAATTTATTTTTTTCTGTATAGATCCCTCAAGACTTTTCTATCTCTATCTGGAAATCAATGGCTACAAATTAGCATTTGTTTTCTGTTTCTGAGTAGCAAATTACCCAAAACCTAGCTGCTTAAAACAGAAAACGCTTATTACCTCATAGTTTCTGTGGATCAGAAATCCTGGTGTAATTTAGCTGCTTCTATCTAGCTTAGGATCTATTGAGGTTTTTGCCAAGACTGTGTTCCTCTCAAGGCTCACTCCAGATATGATTCATTACCAGTTTCTCTCACATGGCTGATGGCCAGAGATATCAGTTCCTTGTCATATGGTTTACTTCTTAGACCAGCTCATTGAAGGAGAGCTTACTTTCCTCAGTGTCAGCAAGCAATACGAGAGTCCAAGCTGAAAGCCATTGTCATTTTATCACTAATATTAGAAGTGACATTTGTAATTTTTGTCTTATTTTAGTCATTAGAAGTGAGTTACTAGGTGCAGTCCATACTTAAAGGAAGGGTATTAGACAAGGGTGTGAATACCAAGAGATGAAGACGTAGGGAGCCTCTAAGAGACTTCTTACTACAAGTTATTTCTCTGGCATAAAATGTCAGATTCTGTAGATGGTACTAACATTATTTCCAACCCTTCTTTTCTGTCACCTAAACCATAATGATGATAAAATGTCATCATAAAATATTTTTTCATTCCATATTAAGTCTAGAACTTTTACCTTTTCACTTTAGGAAAGCACTTTATGAGGTTATTTTTTGGTCATACCCAAATTGTCAGTATGACTACTTTGTGCTTTGGGCCATTATTAAGAAAAATAACTGTTACTTGAAAACAAGCTCTGTGATACTGTGATGGCCTATTTGATAACCCAGAAGACTACTAAGGGATTAAGGAGTGGGTAGCATAGACAGCAAGGGTATACTAGACAAAATGAAGATTTATATCCTGGTTGGGATGGAGCAAGGCAGCTCACTATTTTAGTACACTATTCAGCATAATGCACAAATTAAAATTTCTAAATTGTTTATTTCTGAAATTTTCCATTTAACATTTTCAGGCCAAAATTGACGATGAGTAACTAAAACTGTGAAAGTAAAACTATGGATAAGGGAGGACTACAGTTGTTTATTTTTATATAATACATTTATTGTATTATATAATTAAAACACAGTTATAACACAGTGTTTGTCATAAGAAGAATAGAGCAAATGATGGTCCTGTTCCAAGGATATTAAGAAAAAGGAAAAAACACAATTTTTACAATTATAATTCTTTTTTTAGAAATTTTGAACATTAATTTTTCACATATTTAAAATAATAAAAATAAATAGTAACCTTGACGTCTTAAATAAGTGAATGTGATAAATATTGCAATTAACCAAAAATTTCTATGACAAATAACAAAATAAAAGTGATTAAACAGCTTTTATTCTTTGATTTGGAATTAGCTCTCATTAGCAGATTGTGGACAATCGCTTCTTTTAATGCACATGCTGCCATATGATTTGCAGTAAGGTCCTGGGTTATTTAGAGTAGTAAGCAATTTACTATTAAGAAGGAAGAAGCGGAGTAGACATTTGTGTATCATGTTGTTTAATGTTGACTAAAAAGACAAGGAATCACTTTAGGCACATTTCTAGCTTTATATGTATATTTTGGTACATTATGATCACAAAACTTTAAAGTATGACCTTCCTCAGGAAGAGATTATTTAATTTTCACTGGTGATAGCAGAAACTGGTTGCAGGAGATAATATAATTTGCTAAGAACAAAGAGCTAGCCATTTTTTTAAACTCATGATTTCCCCATATTTTCTTTTTTACCGATAGTCAAGTTATACATCACATGTCATTGGATGAGAAGACAGTATCAGGTTTCTTAGAATGAAACGAGTCACTCAGGAAGACTAGAGCAACTGGTAGGTTGATCTTCATTCTTACTTTATTATTAGGCTAAACTTAATTCTTATATCTTATGGGAAAAAATAAGTGTAATTACTGACTATGGACAGTTAATTATGACCTACGTGAGATAAACATCTGCAGGAACAAAAAAGGTAAATATGCCCAAGGTCAGACAGAGCTGCTGACTGAGCTACTGTATTGAAAAATGTCCTTAACCATCCTGCCTGTCCCTATTATCTCAGGTGTATTTTCAAACTCAGCTTAAAAGTATAAAATTAAATAACACTAAATTCAGTTAAGAAGTTTCCCTTGGTAGTAAAAAAAAAAAAAGTTATTGTGCTATGATAATGTTTCAGTGAATTCAGTACTTTCAAAACAATAAACTCAATTTTCAATTGGTTATTTAAGAGCATTTTGATCCTAGCATGAGGAGGTTATATTGGCCCTTGAGATCTGGAACACAGGCAATGCACGTGTTTTCTTCATTTAGACATAAATCCCAATGTGACACCAACATGTAATCTTTTACCATATTTCCCACTGTAGTGATTGATATCTTCTACTTAAATAGTTGTCTATAGCTGCTGAAATTTAACTTATCCTTGATGATAGGTGAATTTGCTGACCAAGCTGCTAAGGAAAAGTATTTTTAGAGTGGGACTCCTTAGTGGTTTTATTTCTTTGCCTTTCAGTTTCTTTAACTTATTTTTTATGTCTTTATTTCTCAAATAATTCTATTTGATTTGAAAGTCATGAGGTATTAATTAGGAAATATATATGTACATACACAAACACACACATACACATATATTTATACACATACATATACACACATATGGTTAAATAAATTCAATGAGTACAAAATAATGCAGATTTAAAAATAAGTCCTCCATTTCAATTCCCCAAATGTTGACTGTTTTTTTCTTCAAAAGTAACCACTATATCTTTCTTATTTTATATATTTTGCGCTAAATATTATTTGTGAATGTGCTTAGACTTTTTATAACACAAAGGGTAGTATGTAGACTCTTTTATATCACTTGTTTCCTAATTCTTTCTTATGAAAGAACTCATTCTATTAAGTATATTGATAGAAAGTGAGGGAGGTAGATTGTTAAACTGCTAAATCTGCCTAATTGTTTTTAACTAACGTATAGCTAACATTTTATGACAATGTTATTTAGCCAATTGTCCATTACAAGATATGCAGAATGCATATTTAATGACAAAACACGTGTCAATAAATAAATAGATAATTATTTGTGTCTCTTTATATATGTATGACTCACATATGTATACACATGTATACAATATACAATTACAGTGTGTGTTTACTGAACATTTAAGTAAGAATTACAAGATTGCCTTGCAAAAGAGTTTAAAAATTTACATTTTCATCAAGAATAAATGAGAGTGTCTATTTTTCATAATACATTTATTTTTTGACACAGGGCAATTTAAAATAATATTTTAATAATAAATTGTAAATCCATTAGATTATAACATTTTAATAAAATAACTGCATACATAGGCAAAAAGAAAAAAATACGTGCACTGAATTTCATGTATTTAGCTCAGGAGGCAATTTACATATATATTATAATTGCACATTATATTATATATAATTAATATATTATATCAATATATTATAAGTATTATATAATTATAACTTGTAATTATAATATATATAGTATGATACTTGGTTATAGATTATAAATATATAGTGTGCAATTACATATTATAAATATAATATATTTACAAGATATATAAATTTGTTTAATATATTTATGTCTTAAGAGATGTATATTATATAAATGCTAAAATTATGTAAGTATCAAAAATTAATTAAGCTAAACTTTATTGATTCAATGAATGAATATTTGTTTAATTTTTCTAGTTGGTAATTGACATAAGTTTCTGAATTTTGCCTGTGTTCCATAATATGCAGAAAATATGTAGCACAATGTCAAGCACATAGCATTCTTTTTAATGTGTTATCAGTAGGTTTTATCTTATAAATTTGGAAAGCAATAGCAATATTTATAGAGAATAAGAGAGAAATCCCATCTAAACTATAATTAAATTTTAACAATAAGCTACTTCAATCAACGTTTATAAAATTATTACTTTAAAATATACTTATTATATGACTACAAAATGTCACCTGATGAACACTTTGTTTTCATGTTGTTTCATTATTTCATTACATATAGTTACCAAATTAAGCAAACTAATCAAAAGGTACAATCATGTCTCATGTATGAACACTCAATGTTAATACATATTTTTAAATTGATATTAGCTAGTTAGACCTCTTGTACAGGTGAATGCTTCTCCCTCTTGCTTAACTCGTCAATGTATAACAGATGTTTTGAGATGTGATTATCACACAATAAACTATATATACTTGAAGTGTGCAATTTGATGTTTTAACATATGTATATATGTACATCAATGAAATAAAAAAATCATAATAGTAAACTTATTTATTACTTCTAAAATTTTCCCATGCACCTTTATAATCCTTCCCCTCTGGCCCTCCCAGCCCTGCTGTTCAACTTCTGATTTGTTTTTTCTCACTAAACTTTGCAGGTACATGTGCATATTTGTTAAGGCAGGCAAACTCATGTCACGGGGTTTTTGTGTACAGACCATTTCATCACCTAAGTACTAAGCATAGCACTTGATAGTTGTTATTCCTGATCCTCTTCCTTCTTCCAGCTTCCTCCCTCAAGTAGATCCCAGTGTCTGTAGTCCCCCTTTTCATGCCCATTAGTTCTCATTATTTAGCTCCCACGTATCATTGCAAACATGGGGTATTTTGCTGTCTGTTTCTATGTTAGTTTGCTAAGAATAATGGCCTCCAGTTCCATCCATGTTCCTACAAAGGACATCATCTAGTTTTTTTTTATGTCTGCATAGTATTCCATGGTGTATGTGTACCAGATTTTCTTTATCCAGTCCATCATTGATGGGAATTTGGGTTGATTCCACGTATTGGCTATTGTGAATAGTGCTAAAATGAACATATGTTTGCAGATGTTTTTATGGTAGAATGATTAATATTCCCTTGGATATATACCCAGTATTGAGATTGCTGGGTTAAAATGGTAGTTCTGTTTTTAGTTCTTTGAAAAGTCACCACACTGCTTTCCACAATGGTTGAACTAATTTACACTCCCACCATCAGTGTATAAGCATTTCCCTTTCTCCTCAACCTCATCAACAACTGTTATTTTTTTTGATGTTTTAATAATAGCCATTCTAACTTGTGTGAGATGGTACCTCATTGTGCTTTTGATTTGTAATTCTCTAATGATCAGTGATATTGAGCCTTTTATTTTTTATGTTTGTTGGCTGCATGTATGTTTTCTTTGGAAAAGTGTCTGTTCTTGTCTTTTGCCCAGTTTTTAAAGGGATGAATCACATGTGTTGGTTTGCATATATTGGACCAACCTTGCATCCCAGGGATAAAGCCTATTTGATCATGATGGATTAGTTTTTTGATGTGCTGTTTGATTCAGATTGTTCATAGTTTGTTAAGGATTTTTGTATCTATGTTCATCAAGGATATTGGCCTTAATTTTTCATTTTCATCTCTGCCAAATTTTCATATCAGAATGATACTTGCTTCATAGAATGAGTTAGGGAGGTGTTCCTCCTCCTCAATTAAAAAAAAATTAGTAGGAATAGTACCAGCTCTTCTTTGAATATCTGGTAGAATTCAGCTTTGAATCCATCTGATCCTGGGCTTCTTTTGGTTGATAGGCTATTCATTACTGATTCAATTTCAGAGCTCATTCAATAATGATATCTGAATAATAATTGGCCTGTTCAGGGATTCCATTTCTTCCTGGTTCAGTCTTGGGAAGGTGCATGTGTCCAGGAATTTATCCATTTCTTCTAGATTTTCTAGTTTGTGTGGCTAGAGATGTTCATAGTAGTTGCTGATGATTTTCTGTATTCCAGTGGGGTCAATGGTAACAACCCCTTAGTCATTTCTAATTGTGTTTGTTTGGATTTTCTCTCCCTTTTTCTTTATTAGTCTAGTTGTATTTATTAATTAAGAATTAATTAAGTATTAATTTTTCAAAGAATCTACTGTTGGATTTGTTATTCTTTTGAATAGCTTTTGTGTCTCCATTTCCTGCAGTTTAGTTCACATTTTGGTGATTTCTTGTCTTCTGCTAGCTTTGGTGTTGGTTTGCTCCCGCTTCTTTAGTTTTCCTAATTGTAATGCTAGGTAGTTAATTTGAGATATTCCTAACTTTTTTATGTGGGTATTTGGTATTATAAATTTCCCTCTTAAAACTGCCTTAGCTATGTCCCAGAGATTTGGTATGTTGTATCTTTCTTCTCATTGGTTTTAAAGAACTTCTTTATTTTTCCCTTAATTTCATTATTTGCCCAAAAGTCTTTTAGGCACAGGTTGTTTAATTTCCTTGTAAATGTATGGTTTTGAGCAATTATCTTTTTATTAAATTCTATTTGTATTAAACTGTGGTACAATAGTGTGGATGATTATTATTTTTTAATTTGTTGAGAATTGTTTTATGTCTGATTCTGTGGTCAATTTTGGAGTACATGCTATGTGGTAATGAGAAAATTGTACATTCTGTTCTTTTCAGATGGAGCATTCTGCAGATGCCTGTTAGATCTCTTTGGTCAAGTGTTGAGTTCAAGACCTGAATATCTTTGTAAATTGTCTGCCTTGATGTCTGTCTAATATAGTAAGTGTGGTGTGGAAGTCTCCCACTATTATTTTATGGGAGTCCAAGTCTCTTCCTAAGCCTCTAAGAAGTTACTTTATGAATCTGGGTGCTCTTGTGTTGGGTGCATATATATTTAGGATAGTTAGGTTTTTTAAAGTGAATTGATCCCTTTACCACATATATCTTAATGCCATTTTCTGGTCTTTCTTTTTTTTGGTATTTGTGGGTTGAAAGCCTGTTTTGTCTAAAATTAGGATTGCAACCTTTGCTTTTTTCTGTTTTCCACTTGCTAGGTTCATTTTTCTCTATTCCTTTATTTTGAGATGGGTGTCATTGAATGCAAGATAGCTCTCTTGAAGACAGAATACATTGTGTTTTTTTCTTTATCCAGCATGCCACTCTGTGACTTTTAATTGGAACACTTAGTGTGTTTACAGTCAAGGTTAGTATAAATATGTGTGGATTTTATCTTGTCATTGTGTTAGGTAATTGTGGTGCAGACTTGTTTCTGTGGTTGCTTTATAGTATCACAGGTCTATGTACTTAAGAATGTTTTTGGATTGGCTGATCATTGACCTTACTTTCCATATTTAGTGTTCCTTTAAGGACCACTTACAAGGCAAGTCTGGTGGTAAATAATTCTCTCAGCATTTGCTTCTCTGAGAAGGATCTTATTTCTCTTTCACCTTTGAAGCTTAGTTTCACTAAATATGAAATTCTTGGTTTGAGGATTTTTGCTCTAAGAATGTTGAATATTGGCACCCAATCTCTTCTAGCCTACAGGGTTTCTGCTGAAAAGTGTGCTGTTAGCCTGATGGGGTTGTCTTTGCAGGTTACCTGGCCTTTCTCTCTAGCTGCTTTTAACATATTTGTCTTTCATTTGGACCTTGGAAAATCTGATAATTATGTTTCCTGGGGATGATAGTCTAGTGTATTATCTTGCAGGGAATTCTTTGCATTTCTTAAATTCAGCTGTTGGCCACCTCTCTGGCAAGTTTTGGGACATTTTCATCAATAATGTTTTGAAATATATTTTCCAAGTTGCTTGCTTTCTCCCCATTTCTTTCAGGGACACCAATGATTCATCAATTTGGCCTCTTTATGTAATTCACTATTTCCTGATGGTTTGTTCATTCCTTTTTATTCTCTTTATTTTTGTCTGACTGTCTATTTCAGAGAGACAGCCTTCATGCTCTTAGATTCTTTTCTCAGCTCAGCCTATTCTGTTGTTAATACTTGGCAATTGCTTTATCAAATTCTTGTAGTATGATTTTCAGTTCTATTAGTTCAGTTAGGTTCTTTTGTATACTGGCTATTTCATTTGTCACCTCTTGTATCATTTTATTGTGAATCTTAGCTTCCTAGAATTGGGTTTTGACATTTTCCTGAATCTCAATGATCTTCATTTTTATCCATATTCTGAATTCTGTTTCTGTCATTTCAGCTATTTCAGCCGAGTTAAGAGCCCTTGTTAGAGAATTAGTTCAGTCATTTGGAGGACAGAAGGCTCTGACCATTTGAGTCACCGGAATTCTTGCACTGATTCTCATCTCTGTGTGTAAATGTTTCTTTAACTGTGATGTAGATTGAATACAGTCAGTAGAATTTTTTTCTGGATGTTCCCAGAAGGCCAAGGATTCATGCAGCATCTTTGTTTGCAGCTGACTTCGTGTCTTTGGTTTCACAGCAGGGTATGTTAGCAAAGTACTTTTGGTGTTGAATTTTGGGGGTAGAATACAGTAGGTTAGTAGGTGGGCTCTCATTCCAGTATGTGGACTGTCATTCTAGTAGGTGTTTAAGTGTAACTGCCAGTTAGTAGGGCACAGTAGGTGGGCTCTCATTCTAGTAAGTGTCTAAGTGTAATTGTCAGTAGGTAGGCTCTTGTTTAGTCACGTGTTTTTTTCTATATTTCCTTGCAGCTGTAGCTGTGCTCCCTCTCAATGCTCTGAAAATGTGGGTTCCTCTCCCACTTGAGAGCTGCAGATCAAAGCTTGGCACTGCACACCACAGCTCTAGATCCTGCCCAATGAGGAGAAATGGGATTGGGAACCTGTGTAAAATGGTCTGACTGCCTTTCCATAGGATGGCTGTGCTGTGCTGGCAATCTGCTTCAGGCACTGGTTACCTTGGACTCCCCAGAGCCTGAAGACAGCAGCTGTGAAGGCTACAAAAGAGCAAAATGGTGGCCTGCTCCTCTCTGTGGGTACTCTGTTTCAGGGAGATGCAGTCCTTCCTGGCCTGAGAACTGCAGCAGGTGTGTCTGGAGCCCCTGGTCAGGAGGTCTTGCCAAGGGAGAAGAAATGGGATCAGGGACCCATGCAAAAAATGGCCACTTCTCCACAGGGAAGTCATGCTGCACTGAGGGTCCACTCCAGTTCTCAGTCCCCTCAGACTCTATAGAGTCTGAAAGCAGCATCAGGGAAGGCTGGAAAACAGTAAATATGGTAGCCTGCCCCTCCATCTGGAACCCCAGTGTCATAGATGTGGAGCATTGGTGCTCGCCAAAGTACACAGGCCATGGGAGGCTGGAATCCCAGTTAAATGGGTCTTGTCCTGTGAGGTGCCATGGAAGCGAGACTGCAGGCCATTGCTGCCCAGCCCCCTGGACTCAGTTCCTTTCCTGGGGGTGTGCAAGGGAGGCTGATCTCCCCTTTTGATAGAGCTGCAGCCATTATTGCCAAGATGCCCAAGGATCAAAGGCTCCTGGGACTCAAAGTGAATCTGAGTAATGGCCCTCCCAGGACTACAGGCAACTCTGTATGTCAGACTGAAGGCCCTGGTGGAGTAGGTTCAAAGGGAATCTTTTGACTCTAGGATTGCAAAGATCCATGGAAGAAGTGTGGGTCCTGGGGTCTCCCACTCACTGTTTCCCTGGGAAGGGAAGCCTCTGCTGGCTCCCTATTGCTCCCAGGTGGGCAGTCATCCTGTCTTGCTCCTCCCTTTTTTCCATGAGTCATGTTGTTTTCTTGATAAATCCCAATTTGCGCATCTGAATATTTCAGTTGAAGGTGTGTTATTCACTTGTCCCTTATATTTCTTTCCATGAGAGTGGTGCACACTAACTACTTCTAGTTAGCGATCTTCTGGAATGTTCACATTTTCTATAGGTTTATATAAAAGGTACTTATGCTATGTAAACTTTTTGTCTCTTCTCATTTATAATGATTTTTAAGATCTATCTATTTTGTTCTGTGTATCAGTAGTTTATTTCTCTTTATTGCTATATACTATTTCATTGTCTCTGGATATATTACAATTTGTGAATTCATTTATGTGTTAATGGATATTCCGGTGAATTCAGTTTTAAGCTACTACATATAAAGCTGCTGTGAACATTCATGCACAAATCGATCGTTGTACGGATATAAAATTTCTTCTATTTAGGGCAAATGCCTAGAAGTGAAATGCATGGATCTTATAATATATATGTGTTTATCCTTTTAAGAAACTGCCAAAATATTTTTTAAAATGGTTATATGAGTAAAACTTTCAACACCTAAAATTTATAAGTATTCCAGTTCTTCCACATCTTTGCTAATACTTGGTATGTTTCAACATTTTAATTTTAGACATTTTAATATGGGCATAGAGAGATCTCATTGTAGCCTTAACTTTTATTTTCCAACTGATTATGTTGACATTTAATTATGAAATTATTTGTTATCTGTATATTTTCTATGGTAAAATTATTGCTAAAATATTTTGCTCATTTTTGTAGCGTTACTTTGTTCCTCTAACTCCAATTTGTATTCAGTATTGAGAGTTCCTTATATATTCTAAATACAATCAGTATGTGCTTTTCAAATACTTTCTCACAGTTTATTGTTTTTCTTTTAATTTTGTTAAAAGTACCTTTTGATGAGATAGAGATTTTAATTTTGATGAAGTTCAATTTTATTCATTTTTTTGCAGATAATTATTTTGAATTATATCTAAGATATCTTTGTAAACCAAAGCCACAATTTTTCCCAACTACTCTAGAAGTTTTATAATCATAGCTTTTGCAATTAGTACTATGATACTTTTTGAGTTAATTTTCATATATGGTGTAAATTACAGATTGACATTCACTTATTTGCATATCGATATCTAATTGTTGTAGCATCAGTTGTTGAAATGATAATCTTTTCTCCACTGAATTGCTTTGAAAAATCTCCAAAATCTATTGTTCAGATACATTTGGGTCTATTTCCCAACTCTTTAATCAGTCATATTGATCTATTTTTCTATATTTATTTATTATTTCTATATAGTAATATAATTCTAAATGATTTTGATTATAAGTCTCAAATCTTTTTGTGTTAATCTTCCAAATATGTTCTTTTCAAAGCTGTTTTGGTTATTTTAAGTTTCAGATTTCTTTACCAACTTTAGAGTCAGATTTTCAATTTCTGAAAAAAAAGAAGCCTACTGGAATTTTGAATACAATTTATTGAATATAAAAATCAAGTTGGAAACAGTTAAATCTTAAAAATACTGAGTTTCCTATTGAGGAACATCATATATGTATCCATTAATTAAAATTTCTTGTTTTTTTCTGGGCAATGTTTTTAATATTTGAGTGTATGCCTTTCTCATACTTGTCAAATTTATCTGTAAATATTTTACACTTTTTGATGCTATGATAGATTTCATTTCAATTTTTTGGTGTTTATTACTAACATAAAAAAAGAATTTTGTAAAAAATGTTGAATGTGTATTCCAAAACCTTACTAACTTCACTTATTGCTTCTAGTACTATTTTATAGATTCCATTGAATTTTCTGCATAAGCTATTATGTCATCTGTTTATAAAGATTTTCTTTCTCTAAAGTAAGACATTTTATTTCTTCTTGTTGCTTTATTGTACTGGCTGGAACCACTAATACAATGATGAACAGAAGTGGTGGAAGTAGATAGTCTTGTCTTTTTCCTGGTATTGGGGGAAGGCTAAACTCTTGGGAGAAGGGGCTCTCCATGTCACTGGTGATATCCTCTTTCCAATATGTGATTGTGATAATTAATACTCAGTGTTAACTTAATTGGATTGAAGAATACAAAATATTCATCCTAGGTGTGTCTGTGAGGGTGTTGCCAAAGGAGATTAACATTTGAGTCAGTGGGCTGGGAGAGGCAGACCCACCCTTAATCTGGTGGGCACAATCTAATCAGCGGACAGCAAGGCTAGAATATAAGCAGGCAGAAAAATGTGAAAAGAGAGACTGGCCTAGCATCCGAGCCTACACCCTTTTCCCGTGCTGGACGCTTCCTGCCTTCAAACATCAGACTCCAAGTTCTTCAGTTTTGGAACTTGGACTGGCTCTCTTTGCTCTTCAGCCTGCAGATGGCCTATTGTGGGACCTTGTGATTGTGTGAGTTAATACTTAAACTCCGGTGTGTGTGTGTGTGTGTGTGTGTCTGTGTACATATATATATATATGTAGTTGTAGTATCAGTTGTTGAAATGATTATCTTTTCTCCACTGAATTCCTTTGATATATATCATATATATATATACACACACTCACACACACACACACACACACATATGTATATATTCCATTAGTTCTATTCCTCTAGAGAACCCTGACTAATACAGTGATCTTATGGGTTGTGTTGCTTTTGCCTTCCTATGGCTATTGGGCTCGTCTAAGTTCCCTCTCAGTAAACCACAGGCTGAAAATTATCTCAAAGCAGTAAGAAAGATTAATTGTAAGGTTGTAAGTTTGACCTTGCTTTTCTTTTTTTTTTTTTCTCTCATATATCACTGCCTTCATTTTCTGAGTCCAGTGTTTTGACAACTGTTTTACGCACTTTGTCTGTTACCTTTTTTGGTTGTTTTAGTTGAGAGGGAAGATATAAATCCTATTACTTTATTTAGGGTAGAAGGAGAAATTCCCGAACCGATTTTCTTTAAGCAAACCAAAGATAAAATTAATTTTTTAAAAAATAATCAGAATTATTATGCATTCCCAGTTAGTGAAATCAATATTTATAAAATATGTTAATTCACATGTATGATATTATAGATTAACTTCTGTTTGCATCTCTTTTCATGAACCATAATCTCTTAGGGCTATTTCTTTTTTATAATTATTTGCAGTACAGCAGTAGCTCTGGAGTTATGGTTAAGTGTGAAATTTTGTACATTTATTACTGATAATACATAAACAAATCATACACTTGTATTAAACAATGTGGTTATTTATAATATTTTCTAATTATCCAGAATCTAAATATATGAATGTGTTCTATTTTCCTTGGATGACTCTTATATATCAGATAAAATAGGGACATTAGAAAAGCTGTTCTCTTGTTTTACTTCAGGTTATCACATATTTTTAGGAATATTTTTGTGATCTATAGGGGAGACTTATAATGTTATGCAGACACACTAACTAATGTAAAAATAACCATTATTTTACAGTAAAATTGGCTAATGCTTCTTATCTAAGTTAGTCTTTCAGATGGTCTGTAAAATATAGCAGTGACTCATTATGTGTTTAAAAAATAATACTTGTTCAAACTCCTTCCATTATCACCTTAAAGTTATAAAAGTCTCTTTTTTAGCAAGCTAAATTTACAAGACATATATATTTCTACTATGTTTTCACATTGGTAAATATAAAAAAAATCTGAATGAAAATTATATTGCTTTAACAGTACTAGATTTCTGGGATATGCAGGAAAGTGCTTTGAAAGTTGTTAGGCAGCATTCATATAATATTGAAAGGAGTTGGTTAGTTTGCCTTAGGTGGACAGCAAGGGAAGGGTCCTCGGGAAATCGCAGCCCATTGCTCAGTGCCTCATCCTCACGTAACATAATAAGCAGCCTGAGGAAAAATTCGAGCTGTAGCATCGATAAGGGAACTAGCACAGGCTGTTGTGCTGGAAGACATGCCCACGGCTACACAGAAATCCTCCAATCCATTTGGATAAAAACTTGCACAAATCTCCAGCTCACTCAGATAAAGGAACAAGGCCTGGCCTAGAAATGCCTTTGTCTTTTGTATAGTCAGTGGGCTCCCAGGAAAAGTTTCTTCTGCATTTGTGGGCATGGGCACAGTGGGTTCCAGTGGGTTCTGGTGGGCGCTCTGTTTTCCTTTGTTGGACTGTAAGTCCAGCCCTTATGAATCATCACTTCAGCCCCTGATTGGTCCTGGGCCAAGGCCTTGGGCCAAACTTAGCGATGCATTCTCCAGACAGCTCATGGCCAAATTTCTTCCCTTTCCCGGTCCATAAAAACCCTGGACTCCAGCCTCATAGGGAGTACTCCCGTTTGGGACCCACTCTCTGCTGGCAAAGAACTTTCTTCTTTTGCTTATTAAACTTTCACTCCAACTTCACTTTTATGTCTGTGCTCCTTAATTTTTTTGGCAGTAGGACAAACAACTCCAGGCGCTACATCTTGGTGAATGGGCCAGGAAGAAGGGAATTCATCAGAAGGGAATTCATCAAGAGTGAATGTTTAACTTTAACCCTTTACTTTAATTTCTGAGGATTCTTGTTTATTTCAATCTTGTTTCCTTTCATGGAGGACCTAGCCATTGTGTGGGGTTGGAAGGATGTCCTAGAGTAACTGAAGATTTCTGGCTGGGGCTACCCCTCAGTGTTATCTGAATGTCCTTAGACTAAGTCCAGTCACTGATGACCCATCAGGATGTCAGCACAAGGACTTCCAGTAGTTTCCTATTGCATTTTCCTTCTTTCTTCTCCCAGATATCATATCTCCTATGCCTGTTTGTTTGTTTGTTTGTTTGAGATGGAGTCTCGCTCTTGTGGCCCAGGCTGGAGTGCAGCAGCATGATCTCAGCTCACTGCAACCTCTGCCTCCCAGATTCAAGCTATTCTCCTGTCTCAGCCCCCTGAATAGCTGGGATTACAGATGCCAGTCCAGCCCCCATGCCTCGCTAATTTTTGTACTTTTGATCGAGATGGGGTTTTGCCATGTTGGCCAGGCTGGTCTTGAACCGTGACCTCAGGTGACCAGCTTGCCTTGGCCTCCCAAAATCTTGGGATTACAGGTGTGAGCCACCACACTCGGCCCTATCCTTTTTTTACGTACAATGTTGCAGGTGTTTTTGCAAACTAGAGATAGAATCTTGTTGGGTGGAGTTAGTCTGTGTCTTAGCAATCAGGAATGTAATACAAAGGGTTGTTGTTTCTGTAACTTCCTAGAAACTGGGCAAAATCAAGATTTCAGTCTAAATTTTCACCTGGTAAGGTCCCTTCTCTCCCTCAATAATAGATATTCATGGCACCCTATGGGAGCAAACTTCACCCTAAGTGTATATTCTCCTCTCCATTTGGGTTGTATTTTCCTTTATATAAGAGCTTAGCATTGTCCAGTGAATTTAAATAGTTCTTTTGGGAGACAAGTTAATTTTATTATGCTGGGGGGAATTCTATAGGGGCAGCCTATCAAACCCTAAACCTCTTTTCCTAAATTTTGCATGAAAAGAATTTGGAGTCTGTTTTTACCTAACATTCTAACCCTACACCGCCACCTAGTGGAAATGGATTTTTTTCCACGGAGAGCCTTGTTAGACCTCTGCCCCAAACCTCTGGTTACTCAATTCTTTTTTCTTCTGCATCCTTCTCTCAGTTATCAGGCCACATGTCCTATTTGTAAACAGAAAAAAAACTTCACTCTCCACAGCCAGGAGGAAGCTATCCTGATAAGACAGATCTTAGCTTCAATAATGTCCCCATCAAAATAGGGGCAGCTATTCAATTTTCATACTCTTTTAAGGCACCTGTTTTGCAATCAATTACATTGGAATTTAAACAAAAAATTAATTTTATGTTTAGAAGTTAATCAGTCCCATTCTGTGGGATTTCAATTTTTTAATGCGGCCATAGCAAGGGAAGTTAAAGATAGTTTTAAAAAACTCCCTCCATTAAAGGGTCTTTTCCAAATCCAACTACTATATAATTTCTCCCAGACCTCTGGGGCACCTCTGGTATCTTTTGGGCTGAGTGAGTCTAGGAATCCAGCATGGTGGAAGGCTAAAGTTTTAAGCAGGTAAGTGTGACCACATTCTGCTGACTAGCTTTTCCAGGACCATGGGTAAAGGTCACTCTTGTAACCATGGGGTGGCACCTATAATGGTCGCCAGGACTCAGAGGAGAGCAGAAAGGAGGAGAAGGGGGACACCATTTCTCTCTTTTCCTGCACCCTGTGTCACACAAAAGGGAGGAAGGCAACTGAGGGATGCCTTGTCTCCCCCCACTTTCTAGATGGGTAACAAACTATCTGCAGTCTGTACACCCCTCGAGTGCATTTTGAATAACTGGAAACATCTTTGACCCTAAGACTCTAAAAAGAAAACAGCTTATATTCTATTGCACAAGGGCATGGCCATCTTACAATGAGAAGGCCTAGCCTTCTTAGGGATGCATTAAATTCAGTAGTATCCAACAACTAGATATTTCTTTACCCTGCAAGACAACCCAGATCCTTGCAAGCATTGTAAAATTAACCCTTACCTCTTGGCAGCCGTGTCAGGAAAGCCTACAAAGGATAATTCCCCAAAGACAGACGCATCCTTGGGGAATGCTTAAATGCAATATCTGGGTGCTCTACCTGCTCCATTTATTTGGGAATCCCAATAGCCAAATCATTAGCTCTTCTGGTTGTGCCACTCAAAAAATTCCCAATTTTGCCTTTGCCCCTCCAGGAAATGCCCAATGAACATGGTGCCACTAGATTCCAAGTTCCCTTCTCATTACAGCACCTTAGACAAAGGAGAATCTAGACAAGTTCTCTAATAACTCTGATATATATATATTATATATATCATATATATGTATATATGTATATATACACATGTATATGTATATATACACGTGTATATATGTATATATATGCCTTTCAAAATTTAACCCAAGTGTTGAATCTTACATTAAGAGTTGGTATACTACTTTTAAGCCAAACCCTGTTTCAGGGAAACAAGAAAACCTACAGGCAGCAAAGATATTCAAAGATGAATAATAGGCAGTCAAAAAAGAAACTCAGTCAAAAGGGGAAACAGGGTAAAATAATAAAGACAGACAGAATCCTCATTCCCAATAGGAAGAGAGTCAGTGCACCTTGAATACCCTAACTGGGGCCCTAGTGACCCCATAAATAAGTGAAAAAAACCCCACTTTCTAATGTGCCTATTAAAAGTCTTGCAAAAAATAAGAAGAACCAGCAAATTAAGCAAACCTCTTAATTAATCTAAACTGTCCTTGTTGAACCAGAAACCAGATGAAAATTCCACTGCCTTTTTGGAAAGGCTGAGAGAAGCTTTAGTAAGACACACCTACTTGTCTCCCAATTTAATAGAAAACAACTTCATTATTCAGGCAGCTCCTGATATCAGAAGAAAGTTGCTGAAACAGGCCCTGTCCAAAGATCTTTCTAGTTTTATTCACCCTCAATTTAATATTTTGCACTATGTAAAAACACTCCCTTCTGTGCCCCAACTGAGGGGGTTTCTCAAGAAGGCACTGAGGTTCTTCTTAATTTTCTAGTATGTAAAGGATAAAAAATTTCCAAATCTAAAACTCAGCTCTGGCAAACTTCGGTTAGATACCTAGGTCTTGTCTTGTCAGAAGGAACCAGAGCATTAGACGAGGAAAAGATTCAGCCTATTTCCTCCTTTCCCCTTCCCCAAACCCTCAAACAGCTAGGAAAATATGGGGGCATCACAGGTTTTTGTAGATCGTGGATACCTCAGTATGGTGAAATAACTCATCCTTTATGCCACCTCATAAAAGAAACTCAAGCAGCTAGAACTCACTCCATAACTTGGCAACCTAAAACTCAAAAGCCCTTAACCAGCTAAAGCAAGTCTTACTTAAAGCATCAGCCCTCAGTCTTCCTATAGGGAAGGTATTTGATCTCTATATATCAGAAAGGAAGGAAATAGGCCTGGGAGATTTGATTAAGGCTCAAGGTCCAGCTCAACAGCCAGTGGGTTAACCATGGGGAATAACTTAACTGTTTGCACCCCACACAGGATAGCAGGACTGCTGCCATCTAAGGGAAGTCTCTGGCTAACAGACAATCACCTCCTCAAGTATCAAGCTTTGCTGCTACAGGGATCTACAGTCCAGTTAAAAACCTGCCCTTGCCTGAAGCCAGCCGCTATCTCCCAGAGGAAACTGGAAAACCTAAACATGATTTTGAACAAGTGGTGGTGCAAACTGATATAAGAAATGGTAAAAATCACTGTTTATATTATCAGTAAAGTTTTAATGAATAAAAAAGGATTTTGTTAAAGAGCATTCAGTGTAATTAAAAACAGATATCCAAGCTATGAGTATATTCAAAAGGCCTTTATGTTTTTCTGTTCATAAGTCTTGTTTATCTAAAAGAGGTTTTTTTCTTAGTTGACTGAGTTACTTTTCTCCGCTCTGTCTTGTCCCTCTTGGTGCAGGTATGAAAGGCCCTAGAATAACTTCTGGTGGCATGCAACTCCTCGGGAAAACAGAACAGGTGTTACAAATCCCATTTTGGGAAAAATCTCTGTTTTCCTCATGGAGCCCTGGAAACTGTTCCTAGCCATCTTCTTAAGGGGCCTCACGAGAGGCCAATGAGCCAGTTGGGAAATAGGCAAATTAAAAATGTTATAGCTACTGGATCTTCTTCTGTTTCTGTCTGATTATATATGTGTTATGTGGGTAATGTCTATTTAAAAAGAGGGAGCTCTAATGAGTTAACTTAAAGAAGGATAAGCACTTGAATCAATTTTTTTTTTTTTTTTTGAGACGGAGTCTCGCTCTGTCGCCCAAGCTGGAGTGCAGTGGCGTGATATCGGCTCACTGCAAGCTCCGCCTCCCGGATTCACGCCATTCTCCTGCCTCAGCCTCCCCAGCAGCTGGGACTACAGGCGCACGCCGCCACACTCAGGTAATTTTTTTTTGTATTTTTTGTAGAGACGGGGTTTCACTGTGTTAGCCAGGATGGTCTCGATCTCCTGAACTTGTGATCCGCCCACCTCGGCCTCTCAAAGTGCTGAGATTACAGGCGTGAGCCACAGCGCCCGGCCACTTGAATCAAATATTTTTAAGGGAAAAGTAAAGGCTGTAGTGCCTCTTGGTTCCTATGACTTTTATCTTTAAGAAATAAGAAGAGCCTTGGAGATTATCAATAAAGAGCAAATGTCTTCAAGATGCAAATAGATAGTCTAAATTATGCAGGTCAGACACTAGTTTTGCTAAATGTTTTAAAGTTGTAAACTGCTTCTTTGATGTATAAAACTTGTTCACCTTGCCTGCTTCACAATAGGTAAGGCCTGGGGACATATGGAAGTATTCATGTCCCTAACTATGTCGGAAGGAGTCAAATTTTATCTGCACCTAGGACATAATTAAAACAACTTAATAGGTTTTACATTCACGTTAAAAAATTGTTAAGAGTTACCATCATAACATGTAATTAAAACTACTGAAAATAAATATATATACAAGGTATGCAAGAGCAGTAAAATGTGTTTTTAGTGAAAGATTATAAAAAGGCTTGAAAATATATATTTTGCACGGAGAAAAAGGATTGTCTTAAATTAAATATAATAAAGCAAAAAGTTTAAGCAAATTGTGAAAAGATTGTAAAAATTAATCTTGCAAAAAAAATTCTGTGTGTAAACATATTAACTAAATTCAAAAGGGTATAATATAGTTTTATAAATTAAGCATTAAAATTCAAGCACAACAAGGTTTTCTTACAATGCAAATTTTCTCTAGCAAAATTGTAGAGGGTTATAAAAAGTTTGTGAAAATCTCACATCATGGTAAAACTTGTCAAAATTAACTAAAATTGTCTATAAGTTTTCATTAAAATTGTGGTTAACATTAATAGAA
Source organism: Homo sapiens (assembly GCF_000001405.40). NCBI lineage: Eukaryota > Metazoa > Chordata > Mammalia > Primates > Hominidae > Homo > Homo sapiens. The sequence goes on along the minus strand of NC_000003.12, from coordinate 163,052,739 downwards.
AACTAATGCAAGGATGGAATTTAGCTTTCTCTTAAACAGGATTTTCATATAATGATAAGGCCTAATGAAAGATTTTTGCTTTTTCAAATTTTTGAGTCATCATTTTCGCAGAACAAATGACTTATGGTAATCTGAAATTCTATTTCAGAATATCAAGTGTTTTAAACCTCTAACATATTCAACAAACTTTCCCAAATCAAATTTCAGTTTCAAGGTTGTCATTCCTGATGCCTGGCTTTTGGGTGCTGCAGATGGCCCCTTGAGCATCCAGAAGAGACGTAAACAAGATTATTTAACATGTTTACATACATAGGATTGCCAGAAAGATGTCCAATCTTCTTCAGGATATATATATCCTTACACTCCTGTAATCCTAGCACTTTGGGAGGCCAAAGCAGGTGGATCATTTGAGACCAAGAGTTCCATACCAGCCTGGCCAACACAGTGAAACCCTGCCTCTACTAAAAATACAAAAATTTAGCTGGATGTGGTGGCACACGCCTGTAATTCCAGCCACTCCGGAGGCTAAGGCATAACAATCACTTCAATTGAGGAGGCGAAGGCTGCAGTGAGCTGAGATTGTGCCACTGCACTGCAACCTGGGTGACAGAGTGAGACACTGTGGAAAAAAAAAAGCAAAAGATTGCAATAGTATAAAAGTGAATCCTCCCATATACACACTAAATTGTTGAATACTTTAGTATTGTGAAAGCCTTAGTTGTTAATAAAATTATAAATTTGTGAGTCAAATTTTAAATTGTATTTTTCATTTATGTGCATTTATAATAAACCTTCTTAGATAGCATGTTCTTATTGCATTCCTTTGATGTAGTTTCACTCTGAAGATTATAAAATGACAGATTATTTAAACATAATGTCTTGACAATTCAGTCTTTTAGTGTATTTTCAATACATACATATTAAATACTATGCGCTGCATTTGAAAATTAGATATTATTATGACATGCCAATTTTTAGAAAATTTATAACATTTTCTGGTCCACTGCTGAAATTAGTCAATTTTGTTGTGTGAAATCTGTCATATTTGCACTTTCTTCTCTCCCCTCCTGATATTTTTAGAGAATACAGAAATTTCCTCTATACCAATACCCTCTCAGAAAAGAATATGATTTCAAATATGTATAATTTTAGCACATTTGACCACATTTTCATTCTCTTAAGAAAGTAAGCATTTAAAATTAAATGTTGAATTATGCAGTACATGGATTTCCCTAAAGAATAGAACAATAAATCATTCATGACCAGGTGACAAATAATTGTTGTGGTGAATAAGGATTTATTCATCACAAAACACACCCAGCTAAATTTGTGTAAGAAGAGACCTTGCATCTTTGTGCACATAATGTTTATTTAACAATAATAAGCAATTTACAGTATACTCACTACAGCAAGAAAAAAATAATTAGAGATGAAATATCAAGTCTGTCTTCCCTTTTAATGTCATTTACATAAAAGATTTGGAAGATTTGCCTTGTTTTATTTGAAACATGAATTTCAATGAACTAAACACACCCAAACAATTCATTTTATGGCTCCTTTACTTGTGTTCAAAACATCCCTCTGGTGCTGGTAACCCAAAACAGCATTTTTATGAGGAATTCACTAACTTGTTCTCAGGAAGACATTGCACAGATTCACTATTTTCTATTCAAAACAATATTAATTAGTTTCAATGTTAGAGCCAGTGTAATTCCTTGATAAAACTACACAGAGTGCTTCATTTGCCTTTTAACAGTTAAAAGTACAGCAACCTCATTCGACTTCTTTTTCAGTAAGGAAGCCTGCCAGCCGTAGTCCCAGTACAATTATTGTTTTCACAAAGTGCTCTAAATCTGACAACAAGAAAATACATGAACTACTGTATAATAAAGTTGTTAAGAAGGTGACCCAGTTGTTGTTACCACAACTGCTTCCTCTGCCAGAGATAGCTAGGCAAAACTGCTGATTAACAGTGTCTTAGTAGCCAACGTAATTAGAGAGGACTTTTCTTTTTCCTTGTATGTAATGGGGAGTTTTAATGGTTTGAAAAATATTTGATAGTGTTTTCAACCAATTTGATCCAAATGAAAATTTAGGAAGGGAGCATTCATAGAATATAAGCAACCTCAAATAATTTTAAACAACAAAAGGGAAGATAAATAGCATTTACGAAGGGCTTACTATGCATCTTGTCTTTTAGTAATATACTATTTCAATAAAATCCCAAATAAATCTATGGTAGGTAGTACTCCTTTTTAAGGATGAACAAATAGAACTTTGACAATTTGTGTACATTCAGTCACAGGGTTTGTAACTGACCAAACTGGAATTCACAATAAAGTTAGTTCTTCAGGTTTTGGCTACCTATGAATATTTGTATATATGGTTATAAAAAAAAAACTACTCATGACGCTATACTTTCTACATTTTCTATATCTGATGTGTTATTCTCCACAAATTCCCTACCACTTGGTTTGGGGAAAATTAATTTTAGTTAAACAATACAATCAATTAAATGTAACAAAATAAGAACGTTTTAAGTAAACGTTTTATTGAAAAATATACAGTAAAAGCATGCACATATCCTGAATATCCATTCTGATAAATTTTAACAAACTGAGTACATTTGTGTGAAAAATTAGAAAGAGAAATAAAGTGTTATCAACACCATAAGGGCCTTAACGTGTCAACATCCTTCACTACTCACCTCCTCCAGAGGTAACAAGTGTACAATGTTGACCACCATTAATTATGCTTAATTATGCCCATTCTACAATATATAAAAACGAATTAAAAGACCGGGTGTGGTGGCTCATGCCTGTAATCCCAACATTTTGGGAGGCTAAGGTGGGTGGATCACCTGTGGTCAGAGGTTCAAGACCAGTCTGGCCAACAAGATGAAACCCTGTCTCTACTAAAAATACAAAAATTAGCCGGGAGTGGTAGCATGCACCTGTAATCCCAATTGCTTCGGAGGCTGAGGCAGGAGAATCACTTGAACCTGGGAGGCGAAGGTTGCAGTGAGCCGAGATCGTGTCACTGCACTCCAACCTGGTTGACAAGAGTGAGACTCCATTTGGAAAAAAAAGAATTATAAGAGTATAAAATCTCTTTTGATTAGCACTGTGTATACAAGAGTCATTTTAATTGTTATGTATAGTTGTAGCCCATTAATTCCTGTTGTCATACAAAAGTACAGCTCTACCAAAATCCCTTAATCCATTCTATCCTGGATATATATCTGGGCTGCTTCCAAGGTTTGGGTCTTATAGTTGTGAAACCGTAAATAATTCTTGTATATTTCTTTTGGTAAACATATTTATATAGTCATGTATTGCTTAACAATGGGGACACATTCTCAGAAATGCATCATTAGGTAATTTCTTGTTGTGCAAATGTCACAGTGTGTACATAGAAACCTTACACAAACCTTACTACATACCTGGGATATATGATGTAGCCAGCCTGTGAAGTACACTAAAACCTGAACAATATGTTACTATACCAAATATGCAGGCAATTGTAACACTTTGGTAAATATTTGTGTATTTAAACATAGAAAAAGCACAACAAAGTTTGGTATAAATGATAAAAAGTGGTATGTGTCTCTAGGTCACATACCATGAATAGAGCTTGCAGGCCTAGAGGTTGCTCTGTGAGTCACTGAATGAGTCGTGAGTAAAATGAAGCTCCAGAACATAATGGTACACTACTTTAGACTTCATAAAACTGCAAACTTAGTGTACTTTAAAGTTATTAAAAACATTTTCTACAATAAGTTAGCCTTAGCTTATGGTCACTTTTTTTTTTTTACTTTATAAATTTAATTTTTTAACTGTTGATCCTTTTGTGCTAACAGCTTAAAACACAAACATATTGTGCAGCTGCACAAAATATTTACCTTCTATATTTCCTTCTTCTACAAGCTTTTTTATATTTCTAACTTGTTAATTGTTTTAACTTTTTTATTAAAAACAAAGACTGAAACACGCACATTAGCCCTGGCCTACACAGGGTCAGGATAATCAATATCACTGTCTTCCACCTCCACATCTTATCCCACTGAAAGATCTCCAGGGGCAATAACACACATGAAGCTGTCATCTCCTATGATAACAATAGCTTCCTCTGGAATATCTCCTGAAGGACTTGCCTGAGGCTGTTTTACAGCTAACTTTTTTTTTTTCAATAAGCAGAGGAGTATCATCTAAAATAACAATAAAAATGTAGGATAGTAAATACATAAACAAGTAACATTGTTGTTTATTGACTACCATTAATTATTGTGTGTTCTGTACTATACATATTATATTATGTATTAAGTGTTCTGTACTGTACATGTTATATTTTCTATCATTTTGTATGACTGGCAAAGCAGTAGATTTGTTTACACCAGCATCACCACAAACATGTGAGGAATGCCTTGTGATAAAATGTTACCATGTCACTAGTCAATGGAAAATTTGTAGCTCCATTATATCCTTACTGAACCATTGTAGAATATGGGATCCATCACTGACTGAAATGTGGTTATGCGGAACATGACTACATGACTCTATCTGTTTATATGGGTTTTATACCTTAAATCTGAATTGTTGCTTATAGAGAATGCCTATCATGAGCTCTTAGACATATTCTGAAAGAGTTTTCCAAAGACAGTACCAAAATAGGTATACACATTTACTCTCCCACCAGCAATGTGTAAGAGCTCTGTTTTCTTTACATTCTTGCCGATACTAGGTCTTGTCAGCATTTTTCATTTAGCTCTCCTGGTGGGTGTTGTGTTGTATATAGCATCTCATTCTGAGTTTGTTTTGCATTTTACTATTGCTTGATGAGTTAGAACTTTTTTCTCTTTTTTTGGATATTTTGATATCTTCTTGTCTATAAGCCCTGTTCAAATCTTTTTCCAAATTTTCTATTAGATTGTCTTACTGATTTTAGTTTTGAAACAAGGTCGAATGTAACACCTTTATCATATATGTGTGTATGTATAGGTATATATGAATTAAATTTAAAATATTTTTTCCATTCTATGTTACATTTTTCACATTCTTAATAATAGATTAATTTATAATTTAAATATACTATACATTATCAAATTTTTCCTTTATAGTAGCAATTTTTGCACTCCTTTTCAGATATCTTTACTGAACTGAAAGACAATTATTCCCCTACATTTTATTCTAATAGACTTACTTTTGTACTTTTTAGATTAATATACATTCTATCTGAAATTGTTTTTTTGTGTAGAATGTGAGGAAGTTTTTTTTCCTTCTTTGTATATTCAATTGACCTAACATCATTTTCAAAAGGTCATTCTTCCTCCACTGCATTCCACTGCAATTTCTCCATTCCACAATGTCACTTTGTCCTGAGTCATGGCACTATATGTGTGAATTTGTTAATTCAACAATTTAAATCTTTTCTTCAGCCAGCACAAGTCTCCTTTGAAAAAATGCTTAAATAATTGTATATTGCTCTCTACCCCGAAAGATGAAGGGAGAGAGGACTATGTAAATTACCACAATGACTTTCAAACTTTTTTACTACAACTGAAAGATAGAAGTAAATTTTATATTGCAACCCAATATACACAGAACATAACACACACATACACACAAATACACACACACACACACACACACACAAAACCTGTGGGTGTTTGTAATTAAATGGCATGGGTTCTTCTTCTAAAGGTAGCATCTACTTTCCTTTAGAACCATTCTTGAACAAACTGTGTTCAAAACAGCTTCAGCAGAAAACGTTTTAAGAGGATGAAATGAAAAAAAAATTACTTTGTTTAGTACTTTCAGATATACATACATCCAAAAAATATATACAAGCATACTTATATATCATGCTCAGTAAGACAAGTATGTTAAACATATGCCCCATGGTCTTGAATAATGACTTGATTGTCTAATAAATCTTTATTATATTTGTAAAAAAAAATTACCAAAAAGGGAAAAAATTCAGAAATGTTTTTCAAAGTTATGATTGCTGGCAAGAAGTAAAGCAAATAGAGCTTATAAAAACCTACCATCATATAAACATTTAGCATGAAGGCCATAGATGTAATAGACGGACATCTATCTGTTGATGTTATCAACTCCTTTTATTTTCCTTTGTTCAATATTTCATGAAGGGTAAAGCTATATTGTAAAACTTTATCATTGCTCATGATAATGTATATTTAGATTTCAAATACATGTTTGTATGTAGATACATGCATACAGATGTGTGTGTGTGTTTGTGTGTGTGTATTTTAGTGACTGACTTACATTTTAGTAAAAGAAAAACAGAAAATATGAGAAGGCCATCATACTGAACAAATACAAAAGGAATATATACTCAATCAGGAAGTCAGACGTTGACTACTAGATATTTTTGAACTTCTTGCTATGGTACCACATACTGCTTAACCTCCATAAACTCTGCTACAGCCTATATTTACTCATTGTGGAGACCTAAGGAGTTAAAAGAAAACTGAAGCATGTGCTTAGCTGACAAAAATAGAAACAGGGAGAATATTCCAACAAATGGAGTCAACCACAAAAGGCCCACCAGCACCCAAGCATCCTGTTAACCATTGCTCAGCTCACAGCCCACCTGCACCCAGGCATCCGCTCTGCAAGCATTCAGCCTAAACAGCATGACCTTATAAACCGCTCCTGCATTATCAAATCAAAAATTTGATAATATGTATTATATTTAAATTATTAATTATCATCTAAAAGATTATTCAGAATGTGAAAAATGTACCATACAATAGAAGAAAATACTTTAAACTGATTTCATATATACATATATACACACACACGTGTGATAAAGATCTTATATTCAACATTACTTCAAAACTAAAATCTATAAGACAATTTAATAGAAAATTTGGAAAAAGATTTGAACAGGGCTTATAGATAAGAAGATAGGAAAATATCCTCTTTGCAGACAGCAGACAAGCTTCCCTCTGCTCTCTTGCCTGTTGCTCCCTTGCAACATATCTCTGCACCTTACTCCAAATAAATTTCACTTTCTAAACTCATTACTGTCTTGGTAAATCACTTAATTAACCCACATGCCAGCTTCAGACAGTTTTTGACAACAACATTTTGGTAGCACCTACAGGGACCTTTCCCCTACAGAACTTCTCTCCCTGTGGGAAATCTCTCCATATGCGGACTCTCCTCTCCCTTTCTCCCCTTCTACTCAAGACCCTTGGAGGTCAGTGTCTAAGTACAGAGACAACTGAAGGTGTCTGTCCAGGGCTACACTCTGGTGAAACTGAAGGGTTTCCATGCAGAAATGTGTGACTACCACCACCTGCTCAGGTGAGGGACCTAGGTTCATTTTTCTTTTTTTCTTTTTCTTTTTTTTTTTTTCAGCCTTCCAGCAGCCAGCTTATAGTAGCCCTCTGGTAGTTGATGATACATGGCCAGGTCCACCCCCTGGTGTTTCCTGAAGGCCAAGGGGTAAACAGGGCTGGCTGCCTTGCCCATAATGGAGGAAATCTCTCTTACCCTCTCTGGTCAGAGGTCCCCAATTCCTTTGTGTGGTTCCACAAACATTTTAGGAGACTTAGACCCTCTGTTTCACTTGCTCTAATTCTCCCGTGAAGACAACTTCCTCTCCTGCTTCAGAGGTTCTCAAATCATGTGATCTCAAGCGGCTTTAAAGTGATGAATCTCCCGTTGTCATTCCCTCTCCTTAGCTGGTTTCAGGCTGAATTCACCCTTCTCCCTCGTTCTTCATACTGGACTGGCCATCCAGCAAAATGCCCCAGTGTCATTGGCACCAGTGCTGTAGGCCGTTGGCCCCAGTGCCAGTTCTTACAATAGTTGGGACTCCCCTTTGGAAAATGTGTCTCAGAGTCCCTGAGCAGATACAAGTGGAACCCTTTTCCATGGCAGGATGCCCAAGTGAAAATGCAGTTTGTGTCCCCAGTGGACATTAGCTCCAAGCAGCAGAAAGTTTTTCAGTCCCAGCATAGAGCAAATTCCATCTATTTCTTCAGACTCACCTCTGGGTTGCAACCTAAAACATTGGGACAAATTTGGCTCCCAGACTCTCAAAAGAAAGTGCCTAATTTTCTGTATAATGTAGTTTGGCCTCCCAGATCAACTAGCCTGGTCTCTGAAAAAGACTTTGGATTCTAATACTCTTTTGCAACTTGATGTGCTCTGTCACAAAATTTCTAAATGGCCTGAAATTCCTCATGTCCAGGCTTTCATGACTTTCTCTCGGGATCCTGATCTCTGCCAAATCTGTTGAATGTGCTTGGCTAAATTTTCTAACCCACTGACTTCTCTTACATTCTAGATGACCCTTCCTTTGCCCTTTTCCACTCTGCCCATCCAGATAGACCAGTTGAGAACACCCTTGCATCTTCTTCCCCTGAAAATTTACCTTCACATTCAAGTATACCTACTCTACCTGCTCCTTCTCCCTCACCTTCTCTTCGTCATCCCAAACTTGTATGTCGTTTTCCAGTGCCTCTGCCTTAAGGGACCCTTCTCCACTTCACATATTAGGCCAGGGTCAGTTATAATTACATTTTGGGCCCAGAAAAGATTCTGCTACACTGAGAAGGGGCAAATGGGAATCTAGGCACCATCAGAGTCCTCTTTCAGAAAGAAAGCTAAGTTTAGCTCCTGTAACCAGGACCCTTTGAATTCACAAAGGAATTCAAAGGACTTACATTTTCTTTAATCTCAAATGGCAGGACCTTTATATTAACCTTACCACCTATTGTATACATGAGAGAAGACCTTAATTCCGTATCTAGCTCAACAATGGGCAGATGAGGTTCATAACCAGAACCATCAGGAGTCTGGCCCAGGGAGAATGACAGTCCCTGATGTTAATCCTATATGGGGCTACCATGAGGAAAATGCTGGCAGGTAATGTTGTAATTATATGATTACTTCTATAATTAAAGGCATGGAAAAGGCTGTCATAAACCAGGCAACTACCCCAAACTAAGAGAGGTAACACAGGGGTCAAATAAAAACTCAACTCTATTTCACTCCAGGCTGGCCAAAGCCATGAGAAAATATACTAATACGAACCCTAAGAAGCCCTCGCTATTCTGGCTGTTCATTTTCTCAGCCAAGCCTCTCCAGGTATTAGGCCCAAACTCCAGAAACTAGACCACGAAACAAAAAGTCCTTTCCCCACTTTGCTGGACACAGCCCTCAGGTCTCTAATAATCTGGAAGAAATATTGCAGGCCAAACGAGATGGGAAGGATTGAGAAAGAGATGAGTTGCAGACTCACTACATGGCTGCTGCCATTGCAAATTCTCTGTTCATACCAAGGACCCCAGGTCAGCCATCAGGTTGGAGCCTGATGGCCACTAAGGAGCCCTCTATCTGCTATTGCTATAATCAACCAGGGAATATTAGCCGGAACTTCCCAAACCCTCCTGAAACATCTTCTGCTCCTCATAGGCCACCAGGTGGCCCCTGTGCACACTGCAAACAAGTGGGGCATTGGAAACGGGACCTCTTCCTCATGTGGGAAGGCCATCCCACAACCAACAACTCCCATTACGGGCCAATTTGGGAGGATGACAACAGCAAATGCCCCTAACTCTGCTCACAGATGAGGCTCAGAAGCCACCCAGGCTTCTCTATTTACCATCTCCATAGCTGAGTTTCAGGTAACTCTAAATGTGGCAGGGAATAAGATTGAGTCTTTAATCAACACAAAGTCTACTTATTGAGCCCTAGTTTTTCCAGAACTACCTATTGGTTCTCAATCATCCTCACTGGCATAGACAGCAAGCTACAGCAGGAACGCTTCACTTCCCCTTTACTGTGCACTCTGAAGAAAAAATGTTTTTACTTACCCTTTCCTGGTTTTATCAAGCTGTGCTATCTATCTCCCTACTTGGAAAAGATATAATGACAAAACTCTAAACTAGCTTTCAATTCCCTAAGCATGCCTGCCCAATATTAGCATTACTAGCTCCTGCCACCAAAAGCTCCAATCTCCTAAAATCCTACATTTTACAACAAGTTCCTCTAGAAGTATGGGATACCTCCATTGCAGGACGTTCTTTGTTTGCATACCCTGTAAAAATCCATCTTGAGAACCTGAACATTTTCGCAACCCCAATATCCCTTACAGCCTGAAGCCCAAATGGGCCTAGAACCCCTAATGAAAAAATAATTGAGCATGGGATTATGATGCCCTTGCAAATCACAATGCAACTCCCCAATCTTAGCAATCAGAAAGTCAACCAGCACCTACAGAATGGTCTAAGACATAAGGGCTATCAACAAGGCAGTAATCCCTATACACCCCATCATTCCCAATTCCTATGCCCTTTTAGGCCAGATTCCTTCTGGCATCTCATGGTTTAGAGAATTAGATTTAAAGGTGCCTTTTTTGCATTCTAGTACCTCCAAACTCCCAATTCTTTGTTGCCTTTGAATGGCAAAAATCCCTCTAGCCATGTTTCTCATAATTAACCTGAACAGTCTTCCCTCAGGAATTTAGCAGTAGCCCACATCTGTTTGGACAGGCTCTCACTAAAGACCTGTTGATATGGTTTGGCTGTGTCTCCACCCAAATCTTATCTTGAATTCCCATGTGTTGTGGGAGGGATCCAGTGGGAAGTGCTTGAATCATGGGGACTGATTTTTCCTGTGCTGTTCTCCTGATAGTGAATAAATCTCATGAGATCTGATGGCTTTATAAGGAGTAGTTCCCCTGCACAAGCTCTCTTTTTGTCTGCTGCCATCCATGTAAGATGTGACTTGCCCCTCCTTGACTTCCACTATGATTGTGAGGGTTCCCCAGCCATGTGGAACTATAAGTCCCATTAAACCTCTTTCTTTTGTAAATTGCCCAGTCTCAGTTACATCTTTATCAGCAGTGTGAAAATGAACTAATACACCTGTCCACCTTCCAACTCTCTCTTAATAGTGCACTGCTTTAATATGTTGATGAATTGTTTATTTTCAGCCCAACTGAAAATGTTTCAGATTTAAATACTGTTAAAACTCTCCAGAAATAAGCTACAAAGTTTCTCCTCCTAAGACTCAAATCCCCACCCAGAAGTTTCAACTTGGGACTCACACTCACCACCAGTTTAAAAGGTCTCTCTGACCACTGCAAAAATCTTATCCTGAACATGTGCACTCCATCCACTAAACAGCAGTTACACTCTTTCCTGAGAATGGCAAGTTTCGCTTGCACTTGGATGCCCCAATTTGGAGTCATAGCAAAACCTCTTTATGAGGTGCTACAAGGACCAGAGGAGGAGCCTCTTTACTGAAACTCTGAAATGGACAATGCCCTAGAAACCCTTAAATGAGTCCTCACTGCTGCCTCAGCTCTGGCCTTGCCAGATCTTAGAAAGCCTTTTTATCTATTTGTACATGAAAGAAGGGGTATTATCATTAGAGTCCTAGCCCAACCATTAAAACCATCCCAAGGACCTATCACTTACTTATCAAAAGCCCCTGAACTGGTAGCACAGGGATGGCCCTGATGCCTCTAGGGCCTAGAATCCATGGCCCTCTTGGCTGAGGAGGCCTCCCAGCTAACTCTGGCCATGTAATACAGCCTATATGAGGTAATGAATATCCAAAACTCAAAGGTTTTCCACTGGATCTCAAATACCCAAATTAGCAAATATCAAACACTCCTTCTACAGGCATCAGAATAAAGTATCAAACCATACCATACCCTCAATCCTGCCACCCTGTTACCAGAACAAAATGCAGAAGGATCACTTGAATATTTATGCCGAGAAACCATAGATTTATCCTGTAGCATACTCTAAATCTCTGGAATACTCTCCTCACAAATCCAGAGTCCACATGGTACACATATGGCAGCAGCTTCATGCTAGAGGTGACCCGATTTTCAGAGTATGCTATCATTAGCCTCACTAAAGAAACAGAATCATAACCTCTACCAGGCAACATCACCTCAGTCCAGAAAGAGAACTCTGCTCTGACCTTACAATTAATTGGAAGCAGGCACGAGGCTTAACATTATCAAAGACTTAGCCTATGCCTTTCGTGTAGTTCATGCCGATGCAGCCATTTGGTGGGAAAGAGGACTTTTAACCACCCCAAATTCTCCAATTAAAAATGATCCTGAAATTATGATCTTGTTGGAGGCAATGATGCTTCCTACACAGGTAGTTATCATTCATTGCAAAGCCCATCAGAGGAATAATGATAAAATCTCTATCAGGAACAAGCAGCAATTCCACACTAAGCTTCTAAGGATGCAAGGGTGTCAGCTAATTGTCCCCAGAGACCCCCACGAATCTTGTTTAGACTCGGCTGGACATCAGTTCTGTAGGGACATGCTCTCTCTCCCGAAGTTCCATTCTCCAGCCATGCCCAACATTTTATGTCCCATAATATAAGACCCACAGCCCACAGGGCACAACATAGAAAACACACACTCAGAAATACACACACATACACACACACACACACACTATATCTATATCTATATCTATATAACATAAACATATTAAAACTAACAAACTTTTAATAAAAATTTTAATGTGTCAATTTGTTGGAATATTTCAAGATGCATATTGCCATATTACATATGATAACATTCAGAAATTTGCTTACAAACGGACAACCACAGTTAGGGTGAGCTCTACAACCCAGGCCAGCAGGAAGTAGTTGAAAGATGAGACCTCCACCCAAAGGCCAAAGATTTGTTATTGTTGTTCTGTCAGGGGAAAATGTGGAGTCTAATGAGTTAAAAGAAAATTGAAAAAGGGGCTTAGCCAGCAGAAAAAAGAAACAGGGATAGAGAGGAGAGAAAGTTTCAAGCAATGGAGTCAACCACAAAAAGGTTACAGGCACTCAGCTCATGGTCTACCCAAGCATCCGGTCTGCAAGCATTCAGCCTAAGCAGCATAATCCTATAAAACTCCCTTCCAGCCCCGGCCCCTTTGCAGACAGCAGACAGCCTTCCCTCTGCTGGCATGCCTTTTGCTCTTTTGCAAGGTATCTCTCCCTCCTCCCTTAAATAAATTTATCTTTCTAAACTCATTACCGTCTTGGTAAAGCCCTTTACCACCCACATGCTGGCCTCAGACAGTCATTGACCAAGACACTCTTCATTAAATTTTAATACCCTTTCTTTCATTTCCTTTCTACAAATTTCTGGTTTTATTCATTGACAATTTTTTGAACTTGAGTAATTCATTTGATCTATGTAGACCTCAACTTGATTCCAGATTATTCCTATGATTAGAATCTGAATGTTAGATTCCTAAGGACCCTAGGTATTGTTTTTTTGTTTATCTCTTCTCACAGTTATCGAAAGCTCTCTGATACATATACGATTTGACTTAATGAAAAATATTAATAAACTGTTTGAAGTAGGAAATAATCCCTGTATAAATGTTATTTGGTACAACAAAGAGAACATAACACACTCACACATACATATACATATATACACATACATATACATATATACACACATATACATATATACACACATATATACACACACATATATACATATATACAAATATATACGTGTATTTAATGTGTTTATACATTTGTTGCATATGTATATCCGTATGCATAATTTATAAACACATTAAAACTAACAAACTTCATATTAAAATTTAAATGTCTCAATTTGATGGGCTATTTCAGTATAAATATTGCCATATTCCATATTGTAACATTAAAAGCCAGGGCTCTTACGGGATTATAATATATCTTTATATATAGGTAACTATGCTAGGTGAAAAAGTATTTTCTTGAAAATTATCTTAACTACGTTAAATATTTGTTTTTTAAAATTAAGTTTCAGCAAATATTTATTTTTAATTTTAAAAAATTTCTTTCCAAAATCACCATACAAAATTGATTTTTGTGAATGTTAAGAAAATAATTTAAATGATTTATTAATAGATAATTTTTAAAACAACATTACAGTTATCTTTCCTACCTTTTTATTCTACAATACATCATTTCTCTATTTAATGAGTCCTACTATTGTCACAACTGCTGCCATAGACTTGCAGTCTTGGGGTTGGGGGAAGACATGGACTGAAAAACAAAGGAACAAAGAAAACAAATAAATGTTAACAAATTGCATTAGTTACAATGAAGGAAATACTTAGAGCAGAGAATTATTATCCATCTCTTAAAAGAGATAGGAAAAAGTAGAGGGAGTGAGCTACTTTAATTAGGTGAGTCGTTTAAAACCTGTTAAAGAATTTGTTATTTAATTTGAATCCCTGAAAATGAGAGAGTTGATCAAATAAACTAAAGAGAGAAATTCTTCCAGGAATTGAAAACAGTTTGCACAGAACTCTGCTTTGGGAAAGAATCAGTAGGCCTGTTCTAAGAACCACGAGAAATCCAGGGTGGCTGCATCAGGGTGAGCCAAGGATGTGAGGAGCATAAGCGGGGCTGAGAGACGTTCTATAAGGCACAACCTTGGGGCAGAGGGAGACTTTTGGAGTTCTGTGTAAATGTAGAGAGATAAAAGATAAAAGTGAAGGTTTGTTGTTGTTATTAAGCAAGAAGTAATTTCATCAGTTATATTTCAGAAGCTCACTGTGGAAACAATATCGAGGAAAACAAAAATGGAAAAAGGAAGACACTGTCACAGAAGTATAAGTGAAAGATTGTGAAGCCTAGGCTAGAGTTGCAGCCATGAATATAAAGAGAAGTCAATGGATTTGCAAAATATTTTCAAGTTAAATTGTATAGAATATGTTAATAGTTTGAATTTATTAGGTAAAAGAAAGAGAGGGATCAAAGAGTAATCTCCAGATGTAGCTTGGAGGGCTTGACACATAGTAGTGCCATTTCCTTTGATGAGAAAGACAGGATAGAAGAGCAGGAGGTTGGTAAGGTGAGGACAATCAAGAATCTCCCTCTGTACATGGAGCAGACACATATATGACAATGAAATGGATGTGACAGGGTGGGCAAACTAAAATATTATAATGTATAAGACAGAAGTATGAGATAGAGATGTGGATTTAGAGACGGTGTATGTATGTAAAATCATAGAAAAGACAAGATTACCTATAAAGTATAAAGATGATAAGTGAAATAAAAGCACATAAAAAATAATAAACCAGGTACTCTCTGAATACAACAGTCAGATTATTCTATACAGTATCGGGAGAACAATAACTGCAGAATCTCAGTGACTTAACAAAAGCCAATGCTTACTTTTGGTTCACAATACATATCTTTTCTGAGTTAGCTGAAGCCCTAGTCTTGTCCTCATCTGAGGAATCTGGCTGAAGAAGAAGACATTATCTGGGCCCTTAAATCTTCTGCTCAGAAGTGCTTCACATCACTTCCCATCATATGTTACTGAACAAAGCTCACTGGACAGGCAACATTGACATCAATGTGGTAGAAGGTTTACTTGTGCTTAGGAAAGAGGCTCCAGGGAGAGGATGTAAACAATCTGAACAACAATAAAATTGACTTCATACATAAAAGCCTACTCTCTCCAAAATTACATATGGCTTGAATATCTATGCTTTATATTCACCTTATATATATTTGTTCAATGCTTATGTTTCAGTGGTTTGTTAATTTCCTTTTATTTTTATCATAATACACATGTCAAAAACATTAAGCCATACAGAAAGGCTTAGACTGAATAGTAGCCATCTCCAGAACCATTCTTCCTCACCTCCAGTCCTACATCTAAATGGCAAAAAATTTAACTTTCCACTTCTCACCAAGGTGTAATTGTAAATGTGAAATGGAAATGTAAGCAAAATTAAAATGTAAATGTTCAGACCTAATATATGTTTTTGCCTATCTGGTAAATAACATATTGTTTGTCAGAATTTGCATAATTTTTATTTATATTTGTGTCACAGCTTTGGTTATCAATTGAATCCTCTGTGTATCCCAATAGTTAGCAAGGTTTATAAATATTACATTCTAAAACAGTTGTTATATTTAGTATTTACATATCTGAAAGGAAAAAATGGAAAAATAAAAAAAGTGACTATATTATTTGTGTAATTTAACCCATTGATTTCATATGATTAGAAATTATGAGTCATAGGTTATTTTCCAAAAATAAATCAATTATTTTCTTTTGCTGAAGAAAAATATTCTCAACATCTCCAGTGACTGAACTGCATTCTTCAAGGATACAGGTAGTTTTAATTTGAACAGTTTATGGAAGAATTGATTTACTTATCTTTTAAAAAGGACTGATGACATGCAAATTCATGAAGCATTCCCTATTTATTTATTTTTATTTGTTTTTAAAAAAGGACTGATGAAAATGGACTGGATTTAAGTGAAAACGACAAACCCGTATTTCTTCTGGTTCCTAGGAGTATCACCAGAGATATAAAGTGGCAATGTATTTTATGTATTCCACTGCCTCTTTACACTTTGCATAGACAATATGTGCTTGATAAATTGTGAAATTCTGGGAGGCTTCAGTTTGAAAGATGTTGAAAGTACAAACAGGAATTAAGATAATTTCTGTAATATCTGTGTAATAGAAAAGTCTTTTGAGTTTAGAGTCAGTCTTGTGGTTACTTTTCCTTACAAAAATCTGGGCATCACGAGATCATCCCTGCTATAAAAATTATGTACATAAATCTGAGCAAAAATCAGAGCAACAAAAGCAGGACCATTCTACAGAAGTAAGGGTTTGCTTGCGATTTTACTGATAAGCAAGAAAACAAAGGGCTCCTTTTTAGAACTTTGAACTAGGAAATCAGAAAGTTAAACCTTGTCCATATTTGACTGTTTTTATAGGTTTAACTTTTCATTTCTTAGTTTCTAATACTCTACTATATATACTGGGTTACAGTCTAATTAATATTGAACAATATAGAAAATTAATATTAACTAAACTGACACAAGAAAACAATCTCCCCAGAAGAAACCCTTCCTGTTCAGTATATGCTTAAGTTCAACAAACTATAGAGCAAACTATATTTGCTTAGTATTCTATAGTGCAGGTTTTGGCATCTTCCCATAAAAGGTGTTTGAATAAATTCTCAAGGTAAATAATTTCTCTAAGTAGTTTTAAAGATTAATATATCAACAGAGAATACTCCCCAACTGCCAATTTCAATTAAGATGTGTTGAAAAGTAAGAACCAACTCAGTAAGAATCAGCCCTCATACAATTATGACTTAGAAAAGGCTGTCTTACCTCTTTCAGACATATTTCATGTTGTCAGACAAATGGATGGCTAAGAGTTCATATTCTACCTTTTTCTTTGCATTACCCATCGAGGTTAAACATTTGATGTCCATATGAACTACATTTTCAGGGGTTCCTTGTATATTTTACAGATTATAGCAAGATGTGTGCTCCCATTTCATAAAACCTGGCAAGATTCTACAAAATAAAGTTAAGTAACCCAACTTCATCCAGACTACAAGAATAAGCTTTTCATCTCCAAAGTCTTCTGGTATAAGGAAGTTAAAATTAAACCTAAGGTATTTTACTCACACACTTTGCAATTCCAGAGTATAATGAGACATTTCCTTGTTAGAATATATCTCAGTCTGCTTTTTAAAAGTTTGGCAGTTTAAATAGTAAGTATTGCCATGTTTTCTCTGTTTGATTTAAAAAAAATAAAACAAAATAAGACAAAAAAACTTGGCATCCAGTGATAACATATGTTTGTATACACAGGACTTGAATGTGTGTTTGTATGTTGTATTCCTAAGTAGGCAAAACCAAGGGGTAAGGAAGAACAGATATAGAAGAAAAAAGTAGAAGGGAAGAAATATTTACACTTAGTATGGTAGATAGACAGATAGAAAGATATATAGATAAAATTTTGCCACAAAAAGATAAAAAGGAACGGGAAATCAGGAAAGATTTGTGGTGACAAATTTTTCACTCTCTCCTGTCTCTTTCAAACTTGACCCTCTCCTCAACTCTACGCCTGGGTCCTAAATCTCAAACAACCCACAGCCTTGCTTCTGAGGGAGGTTTCAAATTTCACAGTTGTTATGGGCTGAATTGTGTCTTCCCAAAATTTGTATGTTGAAGCCCTAACCCCCAGTACCTCAGATTGAGATTATATTTGTATATAAATTCTTTAACGAGGACATAATGTTAAAATGAAGCTATTAGGTTGGACCATGAACCAATCTGACTGGTGTCTTTATATGAAGAGGACATTTAGACACATGAAGAGACGCCAGGATGCATATGCACAGAGAAAAGACCATGTGAGACACAGAGAGAAGGACTCATCTGCAATGCAAAGCTAGAGGCTTCAGAAGATACCAAGACTGTCCAACCTATCAACGTCTTGATCTTGGACATCTCACCTCAACAACTGGGAGATAGTAAATTTCTATGTTTAAGCCATCCTGTGTGTGGTATTTTGTTAGGAAAGCCTGAGCTGACTAAATACAACTGCTGACCTGGGAACAATTACCTGATCATATTTTGATATATAATCCCAAATTATTTAAAATACTGGAATAAAGGAGAGTAATGGTTCTAGTTGTCAATCATGTGCCATACCACTCCAAAACTCATTGATTTACAAAGATAAATATAAAATTCTTACTACTTTTATTTTCTTTATTTGGAATTGTTTGGTAAAAATGTAGGTCCCTGGATAACTTTCTTTCCTTTCTCCCTCAATCAAAATGGCTATACATTTAGTTAAATTTTCTTTCTAAAATGCATCCTTTATAGTAAGTTTTGATGTATTTTTACAGTGTTTAAATTTTTATATGGCATGATGTATCAGTCCGTTCTCACGCTGCTACTAAAGACATTCCTCAGACTGCGTAATTTATAAAGAAAAGAGGTTTAATTGACTCACAGTTCAACACGGCTGAGGAGGCCTCACAATCACAACAGAAAGCAAAAGAGGAGCAAAGGCATGTCTTACATGCCTGTAGGCAAGAGGGCATGTGCAGGGGAACTGCCCTTTATAAAACCAACAGATCTTGTGAGGCTTATTCACTATCACAAAAACAGCATGAACAAGATTTAATTACCTCCCACCAGGTCCCTCCCAGGACATGTGGGGATTATGGGAACTATAATTCAAGATGAGATTTGGATGAGGAAACAGCCAAACCATATCACATGCATTCTTGTTGATTAGAAGAATGTCTATATTGCCCATAAATCATAGAGAATGAGGTAAAATTATTTTGAGTACTTTATAATTTCTGAGATGCTTTTTTCATATACGTGTATATATATAAATATATGGCACAGAGTGCAACATCCATCTATTTTATTTTCCCAAACAATTTAAAATTGCACACCTGAGTTGGCCTTTTTAAACCATTTGGTAGTAAACTACTCAGAGCTCAGAAATTCAAGGAAAACTTGTTTTGTATTGAGGCTGCAGAAGCCTTTCCCTTAATTATATTACATTTGAAATATCTGCACTTCATTATTAATATCTTATTTATGCTAGTTTATTCATTATGCTATAGGGTCCAGTCTGACCATTTGTATCAGATGGTTTTATGGACATTTTTACTTTCTCTTTGAAATTCTTAATTAAAATTTTTGAAAAAGATTAATGGTTGGGTTTACTGTAGTTTATTCTTCCAAATATTAAAAATTTCAATATCTACAATAATAGCTGTTTAAATAATAGAAAATCTTAATATCTATAAAAATAGCTATTTAAGTAAAGCAATTTAAATAATAGATTGTTATTTATTCCATCATATTCAATGACTAAACAAGTCCATAAATACCCATGTTTTAAAAATTATTCAGAGTACATGTAATTATCATTAAATATTGGAGAATATTATGGGTTTAATCTGGGGAAAAATTGATATGTTTATATGTTAATGACCTAACTATTTGGTCCTTAAACAAAACCAAGATATATTGATATTTTTGTTTTTACGTAAATTTGAAATTTGAACATTTTGATAATCTTTTAAAAGTATACTTTTCCTAATATATAAAAGTCATGCTGATATGCTAGAATCATATAGTAAGAAATATTTACTCAGTAACCATTATATGTCTATAATACATTTTGTTAATGAATCCCCAACCCTATGTCCAACACCTCTATCCCTTTGCACATCCTGCTGTGGAGGCAGGGCAGCAGGTGACCATGCAGCTTAAGGTCTCATTATGAAATTGATATTGTGTCAAGCATCTAGCCATAAATTTCTGCATGTGCCATAGCAAAATATTAGTAAAGAAAAATGATAAATAAGCTATTAAGCAGAGGTAGATCTGGAAGGTATAAGTAAGTTGCATAAGCAGGGGGCTCAGACCACATCAATACCAACTCCTGTTGCATTGCCCTCCCTGCCTAAATCCATGTTTATGTACTGCTAGGGTACTCTTCTTGAACAGTTGATTGAGGGAAAAGAAAATCTTCAGCCTGATTTATATGTGGTTATGTCTGACATGCTGATACCATCTGAAAGTGGACAAATACAACACTACACACTTTCACAGGTTACCTTGAAGGACAGTGGTGAAAGAACATCCTTCTAGTAAGCAGAACTTTGAAGGGTACTTTTGGAGGCCTATTATGTATGAAGTGATAGGTGACCTTTCAATTTATACTATAATTTATAGATATGTGATAGGTGACCAGAAACACCGATTTGCATTGATTTAGGGGAAGTACTATGGTTTGTTTGGATGAAACAGGATTGGAAGATTAGTAATAAGTGAAAAAAGTATCATAATGAAATTTCCAGAAGAAGCCTACACTGTGAAGAGGTTTGTGTCCCATATGTTTGGAGACACATAGTATCCATAACAGAGAAGGATTTTAATAATGAGGTGAACAAAATGCCATGTTCTGTGGATGTCATAAGTCTTTTCTTGGTCATTCCTGTGCTTGGTCAATGGATGCATAAATATACTGGCCATGGTGGCAGACAAGAAGGCTACACATTACCTCAACAACAGACATTCAATTACCTAACTGAAAGGTAGAATTGCTTGCTGAAGACTCAGTTACAGTACCAAGTGGAAGATAACTACCTGAAAAAACTAGGATATTGTCTTGCAGTTGCTACATGTATATTGAATTAGCATTATTAAAGTTGTGCCCCCTTATTTGTGGTTTTGCTTTCTGCAATTTCAGTTATCCATGATCAAACATTGTCTTACAGTATTTTCAGAGAGACAGAGTCTACATTCACATAACATTCATGACCATATATCATTATACTTTTTCTATTTTATTAGTATTTATTATTTATCATTGTTGCTAATTTTTTACTGTGTTAATTTTAACTTTATCATAAGTATGTAGGTATAGGAAAAATGGCATATATAGGGTTTGGTACAGTCCACGGTTTCAGTCATCCACTGGGCGTCTTAGAATTCATTCCCTACTGATAAGCAGGGACTACTATGATCGGTGCTTTCTCCCCCATATCCAGGATATGTGGATCTAGAACTCAAAGAGTAGAATTCTGCTACTATCTAATAGTAGAGGAAGTGGCTCCTCTCACTAGTAGATACTTGCAGAATTTTTGCTTTTCTTCATTCCTATGCCACCGAACCAACAAGCAGAAAAAGGAGGGGCTCTAAGGGATAGAGTGATCAAATTACGAAGGGGAAATTCAGTTGCTACTAGACAATGAGGGCAAGAGGACTGTGTCTCGCACCAAGGAGAGTATTTGGAGTGTCTCTTAATACTTCCTTGCCAGATACATACTTCAGTTTATGATTTTGAAATGGTCTATGAAAAATAATATTTTTGAGCATAATATTGTACACTAATATTTTCCATTTTATTTTGACAATGCTAAGGAGAGAAAGCATGTTTTGCAAGTTTTACAAGTCACTATTATATATAAATACATATATTCATATATATTAATATGTAATACTATAGATTATAATTATATTGTATACATTTTATAGATTACATGTGCTATATAATTACATGGAATATATAAATATAATAATGTATGGTTAAAGATTTATTGGGATTTGATGTTTTTACAACTTATTTTATACTTTAAAAGAAGCCCAGAATTTCTACACTTCCTCTAAAGAAAAAAATGTGTAAACATCACCTTAATAGATGTGTAGAACTTCTGCCCAAACCTTTACTTACATAAAATAACATATTATTTTAAAACATACTACTCCCTTGGGGCTGATAAAGAGAACAAACATGTAACTCCTTTCATTGTTAAATTCAGCACAGCCAACTTAAGAGCTTTACAATCCTCAGGGCTGTAGTAATAAATGCCTTTCAAAGTTACTGTCAACTTTCTTTTATCTCCCTGTTGAAACTGTGATGGTAGATATAGCTCTGTATCCTGTAGGAATTTCATGTTTTTATCACAAGATTGTTATATTTTCTTATATAAAATTGAAAAGCTCAAGGAAATTCAAGGTTTCAATAAGATAAAAATATTTTTAACAATGTCCTTTCAATTTACACTATAATTTATAGAAAGGTAAGTTCACGCTTCCAGAACCCAATTTAAGAAATATACTTTCCTACACATGGATCCTCCCTCTAATATCTGCGTTTCATGATGCTATGGATTTATAAGATTGATATGCTATACATTTTAATAAATGTGCTATGCTTTATAAAATAATATTTTACTCTCTTGATTTGCCACTCCACATTATATTATAATAAGTCCTAGCATATAATAGTTACGTTATAGGTTTTAATTTAAAATAAAATAAATAATTAGCTTTGTAAAATATAACATAAAGCATGTAGCAAATCTTTAAGTAATACAGTATCTTGGTGAGTTTAAACATGTGCTTTTGTACCAATTATGGTCTATTGTCTGCAGGTTATCCTCACATCCCCCAAATGTATTCAAGTGATGGAAATACGAAATACATTTTCTGAAATCCATTCCCAGTGTATCTCTTCTTTAGATTCCTCTACTAAGAGGTATTTGGGTGGGATTCGGAAGACGCTGGCTGCAAAATTAACCCAGGATTCTTACATCTTTCTTAGACTTCATGATCCATTTTTATTATCTGGTTTCAAATATGTAGATCACCCTGGGTTCATCTGCAGCCTCCTGAAGTTTCCTTATTTGGGGGTAACATCCTCACTTGACATCTGTTTCTCCTGTACTTCCAACAATTTGTAAGTACTTATTTCTCTATATTTCTGCTGAAAATATCTGAACTTTTGTTTTTGTTGTTTTCCTTATTGAACTTTGATAACTATATATTCAATTTATAATTTGAGGTATACTTCATGCACAAATGAATTATATGTGGTGAAATACTGAAGTCAGCCTAAATTACTTTTAATAAAGATTTATTTATTTATTTATTTATTTATTTATTTTCTGAGTACTTGTTTTTGAACCATTACAAACACATCATTTGGTATTCATAAAATATTATCATTTATAATAATGTGTTGCCCTTGTATTTGTTTTATATACTCGATTTCCCATCCAAATAATAATTATGTAGTAAAATGATAACTCAATTACAATATTTAAAATATAGTTAATGTATTACTCCAACAATCCTATACAAAACTGTTTATTTTATAATAAACACTATCACTGAATCTTCAACACATTATACAGAATTATATCTGCATGCCAATATTGTTAGTTTTTTAAAAATTTTCTCTCAGAAATGCTACCTTAATTCATATTTATGTAGAAATGGCTTTATATTTTATTCAACTTGTTGAATTTTAATATCTGATTGATCCATTGATAAGATATTGTCAGTGATGTTTAAAAAATTAAGTTATTAATTATTTTTCAGGAATAACAACCCATTAATTGACAATCAATTTGAAAGATTTTTAGAAGTTTTCTATTCCTTTGAATTACGTCCTCAGTAAAGCCTCATTGGAAATTTTATATTCTTTTCATTCTCTCAAATATGTAAAAATCACAAAACCATAGTTTAATGTTAAACAAGTATGTATCGTTGCTACACAGAAAAGATAGTAGCCTGTCAAACTAGTCACAAACTGTGAAAATGACTAGTTGGAAGAACTATTTTAATTGGATAGAAATCTGATTCTCATAGTTGTTTTACATTTAACAGCTACAGACACATGGTTAAATTATCATGGCCTGCCTTGTAGCCAAATAAGGACATTTGACTGAGTTTTGGCAAAGAAGAGTTGAAGAGTTCTAAAACAAAATGAAACTGCTGATGCTTAATTAATGGGACAAACAAGACAATTTTAAAAATAAAGGTTTTGTTGCCCCCATTTCTACCATCTACCTTGACTTTGACATTAGAAGACGAAACTCATTAAAAGATATACATATATATGAGCAGAAACAAGTAAATAACATTCTAAGGTGTGTAGAGCAAAAGTAATAATAATGCTAATAATAAACCTATATTTACTGTTATTTAATTGAGTACTAGATGCTGTAAATATTCTTAAGAACCACAAATGCCAACAAAAGTAAAAAATGACAAATGGGATCCAATTAAACCAAAAAGCTTCTGCACAGCAAATAAAATTATCAACAGAATAAACAGACAACATGTAGAATGGGAGAAAAATTTTGCAAACTGTACAACTGGCAACAGTCTAATATATAGCATCTATAAAGAACATAAACAAATTTACAAGAAAATAAGCAACTTTTGAAAAATGGGCAAAGGACATGAAAAGACACTTCTCAAAAGAAGACATATGTGTGGCTGATAAACATATGGAAAAAGCTCAATATCACTGATCATTAGAGAAATGCAAATCAAAACCACAATGAGATACCAATTCACACCAGTTAGAATGACTAATATGAAAAAGTCAAAAAATAACAGATGTTGGTGAGGTTGTAGAGAAAAAGGAACACCCTTACATTGTTGATGAGAGTGTAAACTAGTTTAACCATTGTGGAAGACAGTGTGGTGATTTCTCAAAGACCTAAAGAAAGAATTACCATTTGACCCACCAATCCCATTACTGGATATAGATGCCAAGGCATATAAATCATTCTATTATAAAGACACATGCACACATATGCTGATTGCAGCACTATTCACAATAACAAATATTATACATGGAATCAACCTAAATGACGATCAATAATAGACTGGATAAAGAAAATGTGGTACATCTACGCCATGGAATACTGTGCAGCCATAAAAAAGAATAAGTTCATGTCCTCTGTAGGGAAATAGATGATGCTGGAGGCCATTATCCTTAGTAGTTTAATGCAGTAACAGAAAACCAAATACTGTGTGTTCTCACTTATAAGTGGGAGCTAAATTGTGAGAACACGTGGACACATAAAGGAGAACATTTCATACTGGGGCCTACTGAAGGTGGGAGATGATCAGGAAAGATAACTAGTGGATACAAGGCTTAATACCTAGCTGATAAAATAATCTGTACAACAAACACCCATAACTCACGTTAGACCTATGTAACAAATCTGCACGTCCTGCACATGTACCCCTGAACTTAAAATAAAAGTAAAAAAAAAAAACCATAAATACATTTAAACCAATGTTGGTATGTTTCCCTGATATCTGAAGTTGAAGCAATTCCTTATCTAAACAGACGTTAATTTTGTATTACCTTTGAATGTATTTTAATTGGATAACATTCTATGGAAAGACTCCATCAATTACAATTACACGTGGCATTACCAAAATATAGTCTTTATAGTTATTATATTTTATAATCCTTTGACTTAGTATATAATTAGATAGTGTTGTCAAAGTGACAGTTCTGAAAAATATGTTGACAGTAATTATTTTCAGATCTGTGACCATTTACATAATTAGTTCTTGTGCAAGCAAAGATAGCAAGTAAACAGTGCATTCCTTGCTTCATAAAATAAATTACATCTAAAAATTCATGATAATATGATGGCAGATAAGTCTTAAAATGATCTTGTAATCTCCAAATTTATGTAACTTTTTCCTTACTACGATAGAAATTTATTTCTAGATTAAGATAAATGAGTGAGTTTATGCTTTGATAAATGACTGTCTACCAAGTGTAAGGAATAAATTCTAAAAGTAAGTAACAAAATGTATAACTGCGCTCAAATACAAGCTAATTTATATTTCTATTTTATTGGAAATTGATTCCAGATAAAGCCATGGGTCTGCTCTTCTCCAGAGCTGAGACTTTCAGCTGGAGGTGTGCCTCTGTGGAGCTCTGCACATGGTTAACTGATGTTTCAATCCAGGGACTCATACTATCCCTGCTAACTCATTCTCATGGCACTAATTAAAGCTCTGAAAAACTCTTGCCAAATAACGAAATCTCTACAGACTGTAGAAAACAGAATAAGAAAGATGGAAGACCAGGTCTTACCTTATAAACAGGAGCTGGGTCCAGCTGTCAATTATTTCTGTGGCTGGCTCTGTAACATCCCATGCATCACCACATCAGCACAAAGAAGTAACTTCTAACTCCTCTAAGAGAAAGAAGGATGGGGAGAGAGAGAGAGAGAGGCTGTCATATAAGTTGAGAGTTTAAACTAATATCCTAAAGCATACTAAGAAATTATGAGTGAAGTAGTATAGCTCAATACATTTTTAAAACTACCTCCTTATAACAATGATTTGGTTGAATAATCTTCTGAAAATTTTATAATATGTATGTATAGGACATTCAAAGACATGCAAAATTGTAAAACAAAACAGAAATGTTAATGAGAAAAGATGAAGAAGAGTATTGGCGAGAAACTTAAAATTAAAAGTTAGTTATCAGAAGTTAAAATCTTATAAGTAAACTGCACAAACTCTAATAAGCACATTTAAAATAAAATTAGAATATTATACATTTCTAGTAAGAAATGCATCTCAAATAGAGTATAGAGAGAGAAATGAGAAACTACACGTAGATATACACTAAGAAAATTAAATCTAAAAATTTTAATGCCATAGCCTGGATTAAAATTTTTGGATATTATGTGTTTATATAATCTTATAAACATTACATTATTCTACATGTATTATTTTTTAATATTAAATTTCTGTCACATTGTGCATTTTAATAAGTGAAATAAACGTTCTATATTTTAATTATATAAAATTTATTTTTGACAGTTTTATATTAAATACTTTAGTTTTAAAAAGTATTTAAATTATTTTGTTTTTCTGATCATAACAGGAATGGGCAAAAGAACTTCTACAAATAATATTGGGTATTCATTTAATTTTTACAATACATTTATTAGAATTGAGTTGAAAACCACAATTAAACAATGATTTTTTTTACTTAGAATAAGTGCTTAAAATTGAATCAAAATTCATAAATAAATTTAGTAAGTATCTTCATTAAAAGTCTGCTGTTGTGAGAATTACACAAAATAATACATCTAATAATTTAGGATTTTGCCTCACTTATAATAAATGATTATTTTCAACTAAAATTATCACTGACAAGAATATATTTCCATACTAATTAGGCATGTTGGAAAATACCTCTTATTTTTAAAAATATTTTCTGAATATATATTATCACATATAGGACAGCAAAAAGCTTATGTAAAAATGAAAGGTTATTCCTAAACTGAAATATTTAAAAATTAACACTTCCTCTTCAGTGTCTCTCATATTTTCTCAATCAGCCTGTAGTCTTCCCATCACTAGCTAAAAACCTTTTCTCTCTTTTCAAACATGAGGTGAATTACACTAAAAATTAGAAGTACAAGTCAGATGAAGTTATGTGAAAAATCTAGAGTTCACTTGGATTGTATTCTAATCTCCACTAACAGTTCAGTAATCTTAAAATGTGTGTGTAAAAAAATGCATGAAGATATTTAAAGCTACTTATTTTTATTAACATAATAACAATGAACAAAACTAAACAAAGTGGCCAACTTGTAGGAGATCACAAAATTTCATGGATAAGTGAAGAGTTTGTTAATACACAAAGATTGAATTCAAAAAGCATATTCCACATGATGTGCCCATTTTAAAATTATGACATCATTAATAAAGTAACTTTAAATGGTGATTGACACATTTAATCATAGCAACCAATAGAAATCTGGTTATTACATAAGTTAAAATTTTGATTCTCACCAAGATGGTGTAGGCTTATTCCTTAAAGGCCATCCCTCTTACGACTAAAAAACTCTTGACCTAATAAAACAAACAAGCATAGGAAGGCTTGGAAAGGTAGACAGAAGAAAGTGGACTACCTAGGGCTATTGGGACTTGAAGAACAAGGTGACTGCTTTCTGAATTTCTTTATTGCCTCCTATACATAGTAGACAGGGCTCTGTAGTCAGCTCCAACTCAGAACTCATACATCAACTGTATGTCAATTAATTTTTCCTTTATTTCCCTTTCACAGTTCACAAGCAGTGTACTTTCTAAGAAGCTGACTTTATTTCCAGTTTACACCAGGGTCCCTCTCTGAGTAGTTCCATACAATGTTTCTTTTGTTATGGAATAAATGTTTGTATCTTCACAAAATTTATATGTTGAACCCCTTATCCTCGATACAATGGTATTTGGAGGTAAGGTTTTCTAGCAGTAATTAGGTTTGGACGCGACTTTGAGTGTAGGACCTCCCTGATAGGGTGAATATCCTTACCCAAAGAGAAAGAGAGGCCAGCACTCTCTCTTTGCCATACCATTCTGTGGGTGTTTTTTAGCAGGCTGAGCTAATTTATGCACTCTTAATATTTAGCCCTGAGACCTAGTAGAAGCCCCCTTTTCGTAGATAAAGAAGGAAGTAGATATCTACTCTAAATGAATTGCACATTCACACTTTTAGAAAGTTGTGAAGCTAAGTTTCAAACCCAGATTTATTTTATTTCTCAAACTTTTGTCTTAATTTACCATCTAGAAACCTTTCATATCTTGTAATGTATAAACATGGGTTCTGCCGTTATCAATCATTCTCATTATAGAGCAAATGTTACACTTTATTAAAAAAAACTTTCATTTCAATGGAATGATGAGGTATTCTCTTTAGATACTGAAATCAAGACCCACTGGATATCAGAAGGATGTCAGTCTAAAGGTCTTTTCATCAAAACTACTTTCATATCAATGTCAAGGTTCTACTTGGGCTGAACTCCCTCTTTCATTCTGCCTTTCACCAGCTCAGGATTCCTTCAGACTTTCCTCTTGAAGAGTTAAAATGGAAATGAAGTCTTCATTTATGCTCAGACATCTTCTGTGGGAATCCGGTATAGGAAGAGCCTTTGTAGATAATGACTTACGTAGGGCATGAAAACTATGTCCAGGGGCTTTTAACCCAGAAGTAGACATTGTCTATAAAGTAGACCATTAAAGGCAAACATTTCAAAGAGCCAGAAGTCTGTCTGCTTTCTTGTGAAAAGACATATAGATAGAATTAGGCATTTCAGAGTAACTTAAAGTTTTTTTGTATTGACCTAGAAAAAAGTTTTTAATTAATTTTTGAAAAGGAAGATATAATGGAAAAGGAATGACATACGCCTTGGATTGTTGAAATTTTTAAAGTAAAAACTAAACAAAGTAAAAGCAAGTCTTTCTATAATTGCTTAAAAATCTTCAATACTGAAGAAGCCTAAAAAATTAGATTAAAATAATTACCCTTCTTTCTTTTCTAATTCCAATTTTTATGAAATTCTATCTTAATTATTATCTTAGAACAAATAAAATAAATAAATAAAACAAATATATTTAACTTCGTGGTTAGAAAAAATGAGACTATATAAAGAAAGTGTAGTCCTTTCTTTAATCATAACAATGATGTTCATATACAACTTATATTATTTTACATATCAAAAGTCACACTTCTATTTCAAAATTTAAGTTGTATATTTTGCTTCATACAGTATGTCAATTATTAAATAAATTATTTCATACCATAACTACATTAATGAACAAAAATAAAAAACAATTCAATATGTTATTTTCAAAGCAGATATATATAGCTTATAAGAGGTGTGGTAATACTGCTATTTTTTTCCAAATATATGGTTTTGTTTTAGACTTTTAAACCATTTTTTCCAAGATACAAGAATCAAAGATTAAAAAATCAATATATTTCTCATGGTAATCTTTGTTTTCTTAATTAGCTCTTTTATATTGAAATTGTTGTTTTTTAATTAATCAAGAGAAAGAAGAAAAAAGAGTAAAATAATATAAAATGTGGCTATCCATCCATCCTACAACTGGAATTAGGAATATGTGTTTGAAAATAATTGGCTAGCCCTATAATGTTGCCCATTCTCAGAGCGAGATAATTCCTGCAATACTTGTATAATAGCAGGCAACTTTGCAAAAAAAAAAAAAATCAGAGGAAGTAAATTTTTGTTAGAAATTAAACCCAAATGACTTGAAATTCCAAAGCTGATTATTGAAAAATGAGATAGGGAACAATAATCTTACCTCTATAATAAAGGAGACTTCTAATTAAACAAGACAGAGAAGCCACACCATGATCCCTTATCACTGAATCTATAAGAGTTTACATCTAAAACAAAAGGTTGCTATAGAATTGAAATAATGCAAAAATAAAAGAATTGATAAAAAAGAACATATTTAGAAAATAAGAAGCATGACAAGGAAATGCAAAAATTCAACAAGAGGATTAGAACATGAAGTTGAGAAAAGCTCAGAGAAGAAAAGAGATGGTAAATAATATTCATTTTTTAAAAATATAGAACATTAAATTAGCTAATTATTGGGTTCTATATTCATACAAAACATTGTTATGATGAAAAAAGAAGAGAAAAGATAGGAACATCTTCATTTTTATTTGAATAATTCGAATTTCACAGAATATACAAGATTTGAGTTTCAAGACTAAAAAAAACTACCAAGTGTTCACTACAATAAAAAATTACTCACACATATATTTATATCACACATATACACACACACACATACATATATATATGCATATTGGTTACATCCCTGAAAATTTCAGTATGCAATAAATAATAGGTAGATACTAAGAGCTTACAGAGTTAAAAAAAAAGTCACATGAAGTGAGATTTGAATGAGATTGGTATCATATTTCTCAGCAGTATCAATCAGTCTTAAGAAAACAGTAAAATAATGCCTTTACACTTCTGAGACTATATTACTTTCAATTTTGCAGTTTGATTGCCAAACTGTGAGGGAGGAACCATACGTCTTTTTTTTTTTTTTTTTTTTTTCAGCTAATGGAAGATTCACCTTGAAAAATGACATAAGAACAAAAAGAAATGGTATCCATTAACAAATGGGGAGGAAGAGATAATTTTTAGTAGAATTTCACCAAATGTAGAGTTATCAGAAAAAAAATTGGGAAAAATGGTAAAAGGATGGATGCATAGAAGGTCAAAAAGAAAAATATAATACAATTAAAAAATTATCTTATGTCACAAGACTGGACATGCTATCATTGGGTATATGATAGATCTAGTAAGCATTTGAAAATATAATAATAAAATGTAAAAATTAAGGAGGTGAATAACATCTATAAAATACAAATAAAAGGTAAGAACGTCATGTGCAAATAATACAAATTTTCTTTATTATTTTGTGTTCAAAATGAAATGTAATGCCCACTAATTTAACCAAATACTGTGATACATTGCTACTAGAAAGATGGGTGCAGAGAAGAAGAAAAAGTGGAGGTTAAATTTTTTTAATAAGTGTGAAATACTCAAATGCCATAGAATAAAATTAATATATACTGCTATAAGAGCATATTATACCACATTATGTAACCATAATTATCAGAAGAAGTAACTAACTTAAAATTGTTAAAAGTCAATATTTCTTGGTAGCAGTTATGAGAGCTAGACATGACACTGCAGGATATTTTAAAACTATGATTATTATAAATTTCCAGAAGTATTTAATATAGTTTGATCTACGTGAATGCATTAAATTGATAAAGATTTCTGAAATTAAAAATAAATAAAATGAGGATACTAATATAAGCAGTGGCATTTTAGAACAAAAATTATTTGGTTCAAAAATTATTTGGGATTATTTCTGCTATGTGTTTATTCTCCATTCCCTCAAACTGATTACATTATTTTTAATTAGTTTTGCTGTTGGTATTGTAAAATTTTGAGTTAAACACAAAAAGAAAATTACCTTTAAGCCTTGTAAAGGTAAGAATATTATAGTGACTACAAACTCCCTTTCCAGTATCTAGACCCTGTAAATAAATAATAATCTGGTCTCTCAAGATGGAAATGGCATCTTATTTCAAATGATAACAAGACCAAGGTACAAAAGGGTA
This sequence comes from Homo sapiens, assembly GCF_000001405.40. Taxonomy (NCBI): domain Eukaryota; kingdom Metazoa; phylum Chordata; class Mammalia; order Primates; family Hominidae; genus Homo; species Homo sapiens. The sequence continues at coordinate 163,020,621 of NC_000003.12, read as the reverse complement.
ACCAATTTTGTGTTCATTCCACTGCAGAGGAGATATATATGTACATATTTAGCTTTTCTAGGTTATTTATTGGTCTAGAGGAAATAGCCCAACTCAATTAGTGAATTCTATCATATCTATCATATATTAATCATTCCTCCACTAAACAAAAGTAAGGCGAAAATGTTCATTTGAAAGGATATTTTCTAGTAATGTCTCAACTCCTTACCTCCACTTCCCATTCTCCAAATTTAATTTTTTAAATAATTACATTTATAATACTGAATATACTTAACTTCCCATTTTTAGTAGCAATTGATCATAAGAAAACAGTGAAATAATGTCTTCACTTTTCTGAGACTATATTGCTTTCAATTTTTTTAGTTTGATTGCCAAGCTGCAAAGGAGGAACCATGGATCTTTTTTTTTAAGCTAATGGAAGATGAACTTTGAAAAATAACATAAGAACAAAAAAAAATTGTGTCCATTATTAAACAATGGGGAGGAAGCAGCCAGGCACGGTGGCTCACGCCTGTAATCCCAGCACTTTGGAAGGTGGAGGCGGGTGGATCACGAGGTCAGGAGATCGAGACCATCCTAGCTAACACGGTGAAACCCCGTCTCTACTAAAAATACAAAAAAAAACTTAGGCTTGGTGTTGGGGCCTGTAGTCCCAGCTACTTGGGAGGCTGAGGCAGGAGAATGGAGTGAATCCAGGAGGCAGAGCTTGCAGTGAGCCAAGATTGTGCCACTGCACTCCAGCCTGGGAGACAGGGCAAGACTCCGTCTCAAAAAAAAAAAAAAATACAGTGGGGAGGAAGCAACAGTTTCACATTAGAATTATGTACCAAATCTAGAGTAATCAATCAGAAAAGAATTGACAAAAATGGCAAAGAGATGGATGCATAGGAGGCCAGCACGATTTATTCCTAAATCCTCTATTGACCTACTGTTACAGGATCTTTGGGGTGTCACTTTTCTGGCTGGAAACCTCTGTGGCTGGTTGCACGTTTGCCCGAGTTCTTGTCCTGCATCTAGGAAGAATGAGGTATGTGGACAAGTGGGTGGTGGGCAAAATAAAGAGGAGCTTTATTGAGTGTTACAACAGCTCAGAGGAGACCTGCAGTGGGTAGCTCCTCTCTGCAGGCAGGTCATCTTGTCTCTGCAGCTCTCATCAGAGCCGAGGCCCTAGAGAGGGTAGCTTCACTCTGCAGCTGGTCATCCTGACATCTGCCCAGCTCCTAGCAGAGAGGATATACTGAAATGGGTTACTCCTCTTTGAAGGTGGTAGTCTTGACCTCTCTACAAGTCTCTGAAGCTCTCAGCAGAGAGGATAGCTCCTCCACGCAGCTGGTCGTTCTGCCATCTGCTCAATCTGGCTGAGTCCAGGGTTTTAATGGGCCTCAGAGGGGAGAAAATGCGCACTGATTGGTACATGGGTGGCAATGGGTGGGCCCAGAAAAGGCACCACAAGTTCCCACTTCAGTCTGTGGGACTGAGAGCCCGACCTTCAGGCCCTCCCTGGCCTGAAGGTGGAGTCTCACCAGGAACTTGCCCCCTTCCACTCAGAAGCCTGTCTGCTTGCTGCTGCCCGTCATGGCACCAGGGATCAGCCTCGGCTTTGATCCAAGATCAAAGTGGGCACCGACAGCAGGGAGAAGCCAGGCAGCAGGATCAGGCACTTCTGAGCCTGCCAGGGAAGGGGGGTCCTTCCTGGGCCCCCAAGAGTGCAGGGCTGCCTGAGTCTGCAGACATAGTTTAGGCATCAGCAGCGGCACCCAGGGAGCTTCCTCTCCAACTCAGAAGGGGCAGGGTTCCCACTTCTCCCCTGTCCCCATCGGCTCCATGGAGTTTGCAGCCCTGCCCACATGTCCCTGATACAGCCAGTATGAAGGCAGCGGCAGGCCATCTGGAGTGACCGATGCCATCACTACTAGCATTTTAAATCCAATGTGTCATAAATTGTATCAAATATTTAAACTTAAAGAGCAAAAATACACATATCTTAATTTTCATTTCCTGAAAAACAATTTTTCTTGTATTTTTTTATTACTGCATGTTGTCTTTTGCCTGGATTACATTCAACTAAAAAATATATGCTGAAAATCATCTATAAATAAAGTACTATTCTAGGTGCTGCAGAAACAAATCTATCAATAAGACTTAGGTCAGAATGTATTCAATAGTCCGTATATATGTGGAAGGTAAGAAAAGAATTAATCACATACATGAACTTTCAATACTGTTAACAATGTTCTTAGTCTTAAACAGTTTGCTTAGAGGCCCTAGGTTTGTTTCCTTCCTTTTGTAACTATCTATGCATCCACACCTTGGAAGTATTGTGGGTTTAATTTTAGACTACTGAAATCAAGTGAGTCATACAAGTATTTTAGTTTCCCAGTGCATATAAAAGTTATTTTTATACTCTAGTCTAAGCATGCAATAGTAGTATATCTAATAACACAATGTACAAATGTTGTTTAAAAAGTGCTTAATTGCCAAAAAATGTTAACAATCATCTGAGCCATCAGCAAGTTATAATCTTTTTGTTGGTGAAAGGTTTTGCCTTTATGTTGATGGCTGCTGACTTATCAGGATTTTCCTTGCTAAAGATTGGGGTGGGTGTGGCAATTTATTAAAATAAGGCAACAATAAAATTTGCTGTACCAATTTATTCTTTCATAAAATATTTTTTTCTGTAGAATGCAATGCTGACATAGTATTTTGCCCAATGTAGAACTTCTTTCAAAATTGCATCAGTTTTCTCAAGCTCTGCTGCTGCTTTATCAACTAAGTTTGTGTATTATTCTAAATCCTTTGCTATCATTTCAACAATGTTCACAGCATCTTCACCAAGAGAAGATTCCATCTAAAAAAAAACACACATTTTTTACTCATTTACATGAGAAGCAAGTCTTCTCTGGTTCAAGTTTTGTCATGAGATTGTAGAAGTTCAGTGACTTCGTTATTCTCCAATTCTATTTCTAGTTGTCTTGCTATTTCTAACATGTCTGCAGTTACTTCCTCCACTGAAGTCTTGACCCTCTCAAAGGCCTCCATGGGGGTTGGAATCAACTTCTTCCAAACTCTCGTTAAGGTTGACATGGTAACCTCCTCCCATGAATCACAATTCCTTTTAATGGCATCTAGAATGGTGAATCTTTTCCAGAATATTTTAAATTTATTTGGCCCAGATCTGTCAGAGAAATCACTATGTAACACAGTTATAGTTTTAGGAAATGTGTTTCTTAAATAATAAGACTTGGAAAAAGAAATTACTCTTTGTATTAGGAAACATCAGAACAACATTAATCTCCTTGTATATTTCCATCAGAAGTCTAGGATGACAAGATATGTCATCAATAGGCATTAATATTTTGAAAGGAATCTTTATTTATGAGCAGTAGGTCTCAACAGTGGACGTTAAATATTCAGTAAACCAACATATAAACAGATGTGCTGTCGCCCAGGCTTTGTTTTTCTACTTATCAAGTACACACAGAGTAGATTTAGCATAATTTTTAAGGCCGCAGTATTTTCAGAATGGTAATGAGCTTTGGCTTCAACTTAATATCATCAGCTGCATTAGCTACTTCTATGAGAGTCAGCCTGTCCCTTTGAAGTTTTGGAACCAGGCGTTGATGTTTCCTTTATAGTTATGAAAGTCATAAATGGGATTTTCTTACAATATGAGGGTATTTCATCTACATTGAAAATCTATTGTTTAGATTATAGACATATTCATCAGTTATCTTTGCTAAATTGGGATTACTTACAGCAGCTTCTAATTGCTGGTTCACTTTTATGTTATAGAGACAGGTTTTTGTTTTTGTTTTTTTTACCCTTAATCCTCATAAACCCAGCTCTGCTAGCTTCAGATTTTTCTTTTGCAGCTTTCTCACTTTTGGAATATTCTTAGAGTGAAAGAGAGTTAGGTCCTTGTTTTCAATTAGGCTTTGTCTTAAGGGAATGCTGTGATTGGTTTGAGCTTCAGACCACTAAAAATGTTTTTCAAATCAGCAACTCTGTTATTTTGCTTGCTTGTCATTTATGTGTTCACTGGAGTGAATTACACTTTCAATGTCCTTCAAGAACTTTCCTTTTGCATTCACAACCCGACTAAGTTGGGTACAAGAGGCCTAGCTTTCAGCCTCTCTCAGCTTTCCACATGCCCTCTTCACTAAGCTAAATCATTTTCAGTTTTTAATTTAAACTGACAGACATGTGACTGTGACTGTTTCTTTCACTTGAATGCTTAGAAGCCATTGTAGGGTTATGAATTGACCTAATTTAAATATTGTTGTGTCTAAGGGAATAAGGAGGCCCCTGGAGAGGGAGAGAGACTGGGTTATGTCTGCTCATTGGAGCAGTTAGAACACACACAACATGTATCAACTAAGTTCAACATCTTATAAGGGTGTGGTGTTTGGCAACCCCAAAAAATTATGATAGTGATATCAAAAATCACTGAACACAGACTACCATAACAGGTATAATATAAAAAAAAGGTTTAAACTAGTAAGAATTATCAAAATGTGACAGAGAGACATGAAGTGAATACATGCTTTTGGAAAAACAATGTCAATAGACTTGCTTGATGCAGATCACCACAAACCTTCAATTTTTAAAACACATAATATCCGCAAAGTGCAATAAAGTGTAGCACAATAAAATAAGGTATGCATATATCTACTTCTGTATAATTTTCTGTTCATCAAACACTTTATATAATTTCAAATAGTAAAAAAAGAGCTTAATGTAATGAAAATTTTATTTTTCTTTTGTGTCAAGACTGCTGTTCTTTGGTATTATAACTTTAGATTAATTCAATCTCTCTAAATAACCAAAGAGACAACAGATTATAGGGTAGTCTTTTCTCTTCACCAGTATAGAGTGACTTGAAATCTTAAATCTTCTAATGGTTCACAAAATTGGATGCTGTATACACACAACTGATCAAACTAATTATAGTCTTTTTACCAAACCCTACAAATGAAGCCCTTCCACTTGGCTACGATCAATAATATTTTCTCTAGTTTCCACTGAAGGTGTAAACAGACCGTAAACTGGACAACACAGACACAGCAAAAACTCTCCTTCCTGGTTTATTTATCAATAGACTTCTATCCTAAATGTATCTCAGATAGTATTCTCCTCTATCTCAATTGATTAGAACGCCTCTATTGTTCTTCTTGAGACCAACTCTGACATTCACTTTTGCTTCTCAGAAATCCCCCACTTCTTCTTGTATACGGTATATTGTCTGGATTACTGCAATGTCTCCTAATTCATTGCTGTGACTCAACATTTACCCATTCCAATTGAAGAAACCCAGAATATGTCATCCTAAAATATTCCTCTTTTACATAAATATATTTTAGCTAAGGCCAACAAAGAAGCAGTAAATACAGAAAGATTTCTCTAACTCCCATTTCTGCTTAAGAATGAAAATACAAATTATCCTTTGCTTGAGACAACTTTTATCAGCTCAGAGATGGCACCAGAGAAATCTAGAAACTTTACTCCATTTGTTTCCTTTTGCGTAATTTTACCTTTCTACAGTTTCCTGCATCCGGAATGCTTTTCTTGTCTTACCACCTCTCTAAAATTTACTGTTCTTTGTTGAAGATGTTATGTAAGCCAGAATTCTATGCCATTACTTTGAGTTACCTTTCATTGAGGTTTCCTAATGACATACAATGTACATATTAAAATTCCTACTTTTTTCTCCTGTTAATCTGCCTAATATTTTTTACGGACTTAAATTATTGAATTTTCAGAGTAGGGGGAAGGTCACCATTCCTACACACAATCCATTTTCCATACTATCATTATCAAATTGCTATTAATACACACCTTATAATTTCATTATTATCATTATAATAATGATGACAGTCTCTGCTATATAAGCACATACTATGCGCTATGCTATGTTCCATGCATTTTTTATATACTGACATTTTTCCTCATAATATGCTTATATGTTAAGTGCTATAATGAGATCTATTTTGCAGAGAAAGAAAGTAAAATTTATGGATGGTATATAACTTGTCTTAGATCATATAGTGATAAGCTTTTCATATGCTTTTCTTTATTTTAATTTATCTACTTTAGAGTTGTTTATATTTCTAGAGTCTGTCCTATTAGTATTCATGTGACTTACCGCTATCGTTCTTTTTAGGCTATTAACTTAGATATTGCTAATATGTAGGGAATATCTACTGTGTCAAGATTAAATAAAATAAATAAATAATAATTAAAATTGTTTCATTCAAAACAGAGTTTTTGTTTTCAGCCATATAAAATGAGATATGAGACAGTTGGAAGTATCACAAAATTATTATTCAAACAGCTTCAAATACTTTTTTTGAGATTAATGTACAGGATAATTTCACACATCTTTAATGTTTGTAAATTTTTATCTTCTGAATCTATCATGTGGTGTCAACTCTTGTATGTAAAGTAAGTAATTTATCAATGTAGGCATTAAGATGACTAAGTCAAATGAAATCATGCTTAATTATAATGCCCCCTTCCCCTTTCTCTTAACCCTTCTTACTCACCCTTTCTCTTTCTCACGCTCTCCTCCCCAAACCCCACGTTTTAAAAAAACAAATGGGTGTTGAGCATAGTTAGGATGATATTAATTAAAGGAAATGATCTTTGGTACTAAATGACTTTTTGTTTATTTTTAAAACCTAATATAGCAATATGAACCCTAGAGCTATTCAGGCTGTATTCAAGTCCAGACTTTAACAATTAACAGCTTTGTGAACATAATCGAGTTAGTTTTTTTTAAAAAAAATTACATATTCACAAATTATAACTGTAGCTATATAGGATAATAATGTTACTATTTTAAAGACTGTGCAAAGATTAAATTGAGTTAATTAACATATTAATCATCTCAAATATTTAACATTTTTATGATGAGAGCATTGGCAAATAAAACAATCAATCAGAAAATGGGCAAAATACATGAATAGACATTTCTTTAACAACATGCAAATGCCCAACAAGTATGTTTAAAAATATTCAATTTTACTGATTATCAGGGAAATGCAAATGAAGCCACAATGAGATATTATCTCATTCCAGTTAAAATGACTTTAATCAAAAAGTAAAACATGCTTACATACTGTTAGTGGAAATGTGAAGTAATACAACCATAATGGAAAATAGTGTGGAGGTTCCTCACAAACTAAAAATAAAACTACCATGTCATCCCACAATCCCACTGTTACATACATACACAAAAGAAAGGAAATCAGTATATTGAAGCGATATCTGCACTCCCATGTTTATTGTAGTGCTATTCACAATAGCCAAAATTTGAAATCAACTTGTGTCCATTATGGATGAATGGATTTAAAAAATGGTACTTATATCTAATGGAATATTTGGTCATAAAAAAGACTTAAATCCTGTTATTTGAAGTAACATAGACAGAGGTAGAGGTATTATGTTAAATAAAATAATCCAGACAGAGAAAGACAAACTTCAAGTATTCTCAGTCACATGTGGGAGCTAAAAAATGGATCTCATGGAAGGGAAGCAAGTGAAGAACTGAAGACAAATTAGATTATATGTGCAAAAAATACAGTTTTATAGAAGGAATAAGTTCTAGTATTTGATAGTACAGTAGAAAATTACAGTTGACAATAATTTATTGTGTTTTTCGAAACAGCTATAGGAGAAAAATTGTAATGATCCCCATACACAAAAAGATAAATGTTTGAGGTTATAGATATCTCAATTACTCTGATATGATCATTACACATTCCCATTTATACAAATTTGAATATTTCCTAATGTCTTCTCTTACTAAATTATTTAATCATGTAATTGTCAATGAAATGTCATAATGTAGCATATTTTCAATTTATGGGTCTTTGGGAATTGTAATCACCATTCCTAGATTATAGTATTCATTGAGAAAGAGTTTTAGCATGTCTTAGACTTACCCCATATAGAAACATGACTTCATCAAAAAGGTTTGGTCGGTTCTGTCACAATGCTTTGTTATTTTTTGAGTTGCAATCTTTGATTCAATTTAATTTTTATACCTCTCAATGTTCAATTAAAAAAATTACTAGATCAAAACAGAGAGTTAAAGAGAAACCTATTACTTTTAAGATGTTCTTGAGTCACACTTATTTTTTAAGAAAGCAAGTATAAATGATGCAAACAGGAAGAATAACTGATTTAGTAATTCTGACCATTACTTCATTGACAAAAATGTCACCACAGTCAATACAACAATGCTTTATAAGTTGAAGAATGATGTTTTCTTGCATATTTATTTAAAATTTTCAGGATTCTATGACACATTTTTGAAATATTCACTATAATGATAAAAGTATAGTTCAGATCAGAATAATGCAGGGGTAAAGTATTTTATTTGTTTCTAATACAATTTTATTTGTCACCTGTCAAGGCAAGTCATTTTAAATTGGCACTTTTGGTGAAAAACTTGAGCTGGCTATGAGATTTTTACTTAAGACATAATTTTCTAACTTTCCAATTTTCAAATCGTTAGAGTGTGCACAGTATTGAAAAGTTATTAACTCACTAACAACCAACACTGATTGACATGTGTCTCTAATTATTCATTAAAATATATCTATAAACAATAGTTAAAATACTTTTAACATGTGGCCTGGCCTGGTGGCTCACACCTTTAATCCCAGCACTTTGGGAGGCCAAGGTGGGCAGATGCTTGAGGCCAGGAGTTTGAGATCAGCTTGGCTAACATGGTGAAACCACATCTCTACTAAAACAAATAAATTAGCCAGGCCCGGTGGCAGGTGCCTGTAATTCCAGCTACTTATGAGCCTGAGGCAGAAGAATTGCTTGAACCCTGGAGGCGGAGGCTGTAATGAGCAGAGATTGCATCACTGCATTCCAGCCTGGGTGACAGAGTGAAACTCCATCTCAAAAAAAAAAAAAAGGTAAATAAAAAATATATTTCAAAGTTGTGAAGCTTTTTCATCAGTCTTGACAAACCTGAGAGCAATTTTGAAAAAAAAAAAAAAAAGGAGCTTTTCATTAGACTATTGGTAGCAGACATGTCTAGTTATCTCTAACTTTTTTACTGCCTTTCTGATAGAAGCTCTAAGTCATTGGGGGTGACATTAACCCTGGGTAAAGATATTTTTTCTGATATTCCTCAGGGTTAGCAATAGTTATGTAATAAGATGACTAAGTTCAAGACAGCGTTTGGGAGAAGGACTCTCTGGAAAGATATGGGAAATGGAGAGTGTTACTTCCATTTTTCTACTTTCTATGTTGCCATGCTTTATTTATAAGAAGCTGTCATGATGGCAGGGTCTCCAGAAAATATTTATGTCTTAAAATAATTTTCTGAATACACATTATGTCATGTTATATGAAGCATCAAGTATGGGATGAAAATCCTGTTTTGGTATCTTTGGGCATCATAGCTGTTCCAGACTTCCAATATTAAGATTCCTTTTATTAAGAGAAAATAACTTTTTACTTGGTTTCTGGTTTTGAATTTTAGGGTTTTCAGATTTAATAAACAAAATCTAATACTTTTAATTTTCTTCTCTTTTTAATTTTTGAGTACATGGTAAGTGTATGTATTCATGAGGTACATGAGATGTTTTGATACAGGCATGCAATGTGACATAAGCACATCATGGAGAATGGGTGATCCATCCCCTCAAGCATTTAACCTTTGAGTTACATACAATCCAATTATACTCCATAAGTTATCTTAAAATATACTACTAAGTTATTATTGACTATAGTTGCCCTGTTGTGCTATTATATAGTAGGTCTTATTCATTCTTTCTATTTTCTTGTGTGCCCATTAATTAATCTCAATTCCCCACCAACCCAACTCCTTGCTACCATTACCAGCCTCTGGCAACCATGATTCTACTTTCTTATGTCCATGAGTTCAATGTTTTTGATTTTTAGATCCCACAAATAAGTGAGAATATGTGATGTTTGTCTTTCAATGCCTGGCTTATTTCATTTATCATGACAATCTCCAGTTTCATCCATGTTGCTGCAAATGACTGGGCCTCATTCTTTTTTTGGCCGAATGGTATTCCATTGTGTATAGGCACCACATTTTCTTTATCTATTCATCTGTTGATGGACACATAAGTTGCTTCCAAATCTTTACTATTGTAAACAGTGTTGCAACAAACATAAGAGTGCAGGTATGTCTTCAACATACTGCTTTGTTTTTTTTTTTTGTTTGTTTGTTTGTTTGTTTTTTGCGGGGGAGGATATATACCAAAAGAAACCTACTCTAGCAGTAGAATTGCTGGATCATACGGTAGCTCAACTTTTAGTTTTTTATGTAACCTTCAAACTCTTTTGCTGTGCAGAAACATTTAAACTTGATATGATTTCATTTGTCATTTTTGCCTTTTGTTGCCTGTACTTGTGGGACATTGCCCATGAAATTTTTGCCCAAACCCACGTCCTGCAGATTTTCCCCAAGGTTTTCTTTTAGTAATTTCATAGTTTGAGATGTTACATTTAAGGCTTTAATACATTGCATTGGATTTTTGTGTATGGTGAGAGATAGGGGTCTAGTTTCATTCTTCTGCATATGAATATCTGATTTTCCCAGCACCATGTATTGAAGAGACCCTTTCACCCAGTATAAGGTCTTCGCACCTTTGTCAGAAATGAGTTCACTGTAGTTGTTTGGATGAAATTATACACTAATCTCATGTGAGACAATGTGTGTTAGTTAAGACATAAGCTGAGTTATTGTAATAGAAGAACATCAAAGGCAGTGGTTTCAGTAAGACAGAACTTTATTTATCTCACATATAAAAGTATAAAAATAGATAAGGAATGGCTAGTTGGAAGCTCTGACCTACAAGGTGAAACAGATACTCAGGCTCCATCATTTCTAGGGCATTTATCTCATGAACATGGATTAATCTGGCTTACTGCTATAATATTTGTACGCCAACTCACAGGAAAAGTAACAAAGTATTAGGTAAGCAGCTGCTCTTAAGTACAGGTCATGGAAAATGCATATATCATTTGCTTTACATTCTACGTCTTACTTCTAACATCAAGAAAAAACAAGCTATGTCGTCTCCTAACTAAGCAGCCAAGTGAACCATTAAAACTCTACCAGGTTGGACAGCTTGTGGGAAAACAATTTATGTTTTCATATTGAAAAGGAAGAAAGAGAGAAAAGATTCTGGGAGAAAAGTATCAGTCTCTGACAAAATATAGATATAAATATATTTTTAAAATCAATAAATGAAACCAGCATATATAATAAGATTGTAGTAAATCATTTGAAAATTTTCCAGGAAAGCTGTGATAAGTTAATATTAGAGATTTGACTAATGCATTTCATCATAGTAATTAATTATAGGAAAATACTCATAAGGTCATCCCAGTGTTGGCAAAATAAATGCTTATTAAAAATTCAATATCCACACACATGATTAAAAAACAATCTCAGCAAATTAAATATAGAAGAAAACCATATTAGTATGTGGTGCAGCTTCTTGATTGCATTTGATACTGCTAATTGTTTGTGAAAAGCTATCTAAATAACTTTGATTAGATTGAATACCTCGTTTAAAGTTTTCATTATGTATAAAAACATGTTAATAAATCGTAGCCATTATTACTACCTTATTACAGGTCACACATTACGAACATTATATATGTTCTATACGAGCCCTCTATAAGTTTTATAAGAGCCCTCTAGTACTTGCGTTTGTACTTACATTAATGTCCCCAATTGATGATTAAACAAAATATAATTAGACATAATTAAGCAATAGATAGCCCTTGGTAGCAGTAACCAGCTAGGGTTGTATTGTAAAGAACAGTAGTAGTATCCACAATTACTTCTTTCAGTATTCACTTTAAAAGTCAATATAGGAGTGATGTCAGCAAGATGGCTGACTAAAGATGCATTGCATTAGTCCTTGCCACAAGAAAAAACAAGGAAATAAATAAATAGCTAAAATTTGACTGGAGCGTTGAAGGTAGAGAAAACAGATGTACTTGATATCTGCTTTACATGCTCTGTTACATAGTATGGTGACTATAGCAAGTAAGAATAAATGCATATTTCAAAATAGTTAGAAGAGAAGATTTTGAATGTTTCCACCATAAAGAAATACATGCTTTCAATGTTGGATATAATAATTACCCTTATTTAACTATTATACTATGTATAAATGTATTAAACCATCATATTGTACCCAATGAATTTGTATGATGTGTCAATTATAAATTTCTTTAAAAGTTTTGCAGCTGATAACACAATGCATCTACCATCTATCTCTGTGTGCATATTTGCCATCTTAACAGCTTCTATTTTAACAGTTTACATTGTTTGGATGTTTTACATGTTTTCTTTTTTTCTTATTGAGACAGGGTCCCCCTCTGTTACCCAGGCTGGAGTGCAGTGGTATCACCTTGGCTCACTGCAACCTCTGCCTCCTGGATTCAAGCGATTCTACTTCCTCAGCCTCCCTAGTAGCTAGGACTATGGACACGCACCACCATAACTGGCTAATCAGTTTTTTCTTTTTGTATTTTTGGTAGAAGTGAAGTTCACCATATTGCCCAGGCTGGTCTCAAACTCCTGGGCTCAAATGATCTGCCCGCCTCGGCCTCCCAAAGTGCTGGGATTACAGGCATGAGCCACTGCGCACAGCACTCTGCTATTTCAAAATGAGTTTGTGGAATATGTGACTTGTAATATCTACATATAAAATGTGAAAACTTTAATTTACTGTAATTGCATTAGTCTAAAACCCCAACAAAAAAAATAGGCCTTATAAATAAAATGTCCTGTAAAAGGCTCTTTTTAATTGATTTTTTTTTCATTCTTGAATCTAGAATCACTACCTATACACTCTAAGAATCCAGGAAGGGATTCTTTATGAAGGAGTTTGTTGATAACTGAACTTATAGAATGGGGATTATGTAGAGGTAAATTTGATTAAAACAGACTGTAAAAGTTTTATAAATGTATTTTATTTTATCTATATGGTAACTTTTTACTAAGGAAGTGGTGAAAACACTTAGCCACAACAATAGTAGGCCTTAGGTTTGAAATGTTCTACTGTTTGCACGGCCCACGTTATAATGCTCTTGCACTCTATATTTAGTGAGGTATTTAACCCATGCTTGTCTCTCCCACAATCTCATTTTTCCATGTTATGAAAATTGCAACGAAATTTATCTAATATTCCTGCAATTGCTTGCTTTATTTCAGTTTTCAAATAAAAGTATCACTATCAATATTTGGGGAAAGGTTGTTTTGCTTTGTTTCTCATATGCCTTTTAAAATTGCCTTCTCTTGTATATTAGGTATTGCTCTGTAAATGGTGCCTTTTTCTGATTGTGATTTTTGAGACCTGGTTAGTGTTCTTGTTCTAAGTTTGATAGTTGAAGGTTCTCTGCTGAACATCATTTCACCAATGATGAGTGCTTTATTTCAAAAGCTCTAGTAAGAAGAGTAACTTTCTTATCGAAATCTGAGCTGAAAATAGCTTAAATAAGGAACAGATATAGAGTGTCTCCGTTAATGATAATCTTATTAATTATTCTTTCTGGCTGCAATGTTTGGATTTTAATATCTCAGTCTTGGATCTTAAGCTGTCTTCTGTTTAAGTACTGAGTGCTCATTAAAGCATAACTTATATAGTAAATTTACCATAATGAATAAGAAAATGTATATTTTTATTTTACCCTAGTTAAATGGTGGGTGTCTAGATGGTGATAAATGATAGGGGGTACAGATGGACAGGAAGTAGGAAAATTCAGATTTTAGTACTCTATGTGTATGTTTTCTTTGAAATTTATTGATATGTTAATTATGGAGTAGGGTAATGTTACAAATACTGAAGATATGAAATTAAAGAAATAATTTTTATTTGATTCTCAGAATCTGTGGAAGTATATTTTAATGATGTTGTACAATTACTTCAGTTTTTAGTTAGAAGGTGCTTTGGATTAAAATATATAACTCCTACCACCAGACCCTTTGTAAATTTTAGCAATGTTCACCTCATGAAAACTTTACTCAGTATCATCAACATTGTCTTAAGCAATATTATAAAATAAGGGCTTAATCTTTTTTGCATGCACAAAGTAAGAAGTTCCTTTATCATCAATATTAATGTGCATTGTTAATGTTGTACACATACACACACGTATTTGAACACAAGACCTAATATATTATTATAAAAATAACTTTTAGAAACTATTAAAAATATATATGAAATGTAACCAAATGTTACTCTCATTGTAAATATGAAAGAACAAAATACATATAATGGCCTTTGCACTGTCTAGCATCATAGAGCAAGCAACAGACAAACAATAAAAGAAATTGTTGGTTGTCAGTTTAAGTCAGTATTTATTTTGGGAGAAGTTTTTATACTCCTATAATAGATGTATTTTAAAATGCATCTATAAACATTGACCTTCCAGATTTGGGAGAATGTGGGAGTATCGAATAATCTGAACTGATATCAGCCAAACATATATTTTTTTAATTTTTTAATTTTATTATTATTATACTTTAAGTTTTAGGGTACATGTGCACAATGTGCAGGTCAGTTACATATGTATATATGTGTCATGCTGGTGTGCTGCACCCATTAACTCATCATTTAGCATTAGGTATATCTCCCAGTGCTATCCCTCCCCCCTTCCCCCACCCCACAACAGTCCCCAGAGTGTGATGTTCCCCTTCCTGTGTCCATGTGTTCACATTGTTCAATTCTCACCTATGAGTGAGAATAAGCGGTGTTTGGTTTTTTGTTCTTGCGATAGTTTACTGAGAATGATGAATTCCAATTTCATCCATGTCCCTACAAAGGACATGAACTCATCATTTTTTATGGCTGCATAGTATTCCATGGTGAATATGTGCCACATTTTCTTAATCCAGTCTATCATTGTTGGACATTTGGGTTGGTTCCAAGTCTTTGCTATTGTGAATAGTGCTGCAGTAAACATACGTGTGCATGTGTCTTTATAGCAGCATGATTTATAGTTCTTTGGGTATATACCCAGTAATGGGATGGCTGGGTCAAATGGTGTTTCTAGTTCTAGATCCCTGAGGAATCGCCACACTGACTTCCACAATGATTGAACTAGTTTACCATCCAACCAACAGTGTAAAAGTGTTCCTATTTCTCCACATCCTCTCCAGCACCTGTTGTTTCCTGACTTTTTAATGATTGCCATTCTAACTGGTGTGAGATGGTATCTCATTGTGGTTTTAATTTGCATTTCTCTGATGGCCAGTGATGATGAGCATTTTTTCATGTGTTTTTTGGCTGCATAAATGTCTTCTTTTGAGAAGTGTCTGTTCATGTCCTTCGCCCACTTTTTGATGGGGTTGTTTGTTTTTTTCTTGTAAATTTGTTTGAGTTCATTGTAGATTCTGGATATTAGCCCTTTGTCAGATGAGTAGGTTGTGAAAATTTTCTCCCATTTTGTAGGTTGCCTGTTCACTCTGATGGTAGTTTCTTTTGCTGTGCAGAAGCTCTTTAGTTTAATTAGATCCCATTTGTCAATTTTGGCTTTTGTTGCCATTGCTTTTGGTGTTTTAGACATGAAGTCCTTGCCCATGCTTATGTCCTGAATGGTAATGCCTAGGTTTTCTTCTAGGGTTTTTATGGTTTTAGGTCTAATGTTTAAGCCTTTAATCCATCTTGAATTAATTTTTGTATAAGGTGTGAGGAAGGGATCCAGTTTCAGCTTTCTACATATGGCTAGCCAGTTTTCCCAGCACCATTTATTAAATAGGGAATCCTTTCCCCATTGCTTGTTTTTCTCAGGTTTGTCAAAGTTCAGATAGTTGTAGATACGCGGCATTATTTCTGAGGGCTCTGTTCTGTTCCATTGATCTATATCTCTGTTTTGGTACCAGTACCATGCTGTTTTGGTTACTGTGGGCTTGTAGTGTAGTATGAAGTCAGGTAGCGTGATGCCTCCAGCTTTGTTCTTTTGGCTTAGGATTGACTTGGTGATGCAGGCTCTTTTTTGGTTCCATATGAACTTTAAAGTAGTTTTTTCCAATTCTGTGAAGAAAGTCATTGGTAGGATGGCATTGAATCTATAAATTACCTTGGCAGTATGGCCATTTTCAGGATATTGATTCTTCCTACCCATGAGCATGGAATGTTCTTCCATTTGTTTTCATATTTGTTCCTGTACTAATATTTGACTATGTGGATTCCATTTAAGATAACATTTATAGTTTAAAAATTAAGACATTTTATCTTTTTTATTTCATCAATTTGTTATTTGTGATATAAATGAAATGCTTTAAGCATCACACAAATCGAGATTAATCTTGAATTGCTTCTTAATTTTTTATCTTAAGGGCTATACAGCTTTTTGCGTTTAAGTCCTTGAAGCTATTTGCTAACAGAATACTAGACTGAGTAAATCTACCTCTTATCTCCATCTCCTAATCCAAAATGAGAAAATAAGAGCCCTTGACTAAAAAGCTTGGTCTTCTTGCAAAATGTATTCACTGAGTTCTTATAAAAATTTGTGTTTTTTTTTTTTAACAATGAGAGCAGCCATCACGTGAAATACGGACAACTGTACTTCTTGAAATATCTTAGAGAGACATAATTGGTGGATTAATGAAAAGAGAAAGAAACTAAATACCACTCAGCTTATTAGTATGATTTACTGAGGCAGTTAGAAGAATGTTTTTTTCTTCCGAATGAAATTCTTTAAAGTTCAGAGAATCAAATTATCATATTCATATTCCCCTGTCAATCATCTAGTTTCAATATCCCAATAAAGCTATTCCCATTATAACTGATATGTGATGAACTCTAAAGCTATTTATCACCATCATACATATTATATTCATTAAACTCAAAACTTTCAGCTTTAGCTCTATGTCAAACCTTCACTTATTTGTTATTGATGTGTGTGACTTCTTTCCTGAACCAGATATTTAATCTACGATATTAACAAATTCTCTGTCACTTATGTGTGTACAAAAGAAACAACAAAATAAACCAAGACCTGATTTTTAGTTTCACCTATTTCAAGGTGCAAATATTCCAGTTGTGACTGATTTCATGTTACAATGTGTTATCACAATTTGGAAGAGATGCATCATAGTTGTAGTATTCTCACCATACAGAAACAGACGTCAATAAACCTAAGAGAATAGTAATAATAAATGTAATGAAATACTCAGAAGTGATGAATTTTGAGCTACTAATATAATTAGTACTAATATATTCTATTTAAAATTTTGGAATTTAATTTTGAATAATGTTTTATTGAATGACAAGCTTACAAAATTTCTGAAAATCAAGCAAAAGTTGCTTAGAACCATCAGTATTAACAGCATAGTATAAAACATGATAACTCCTGGATTCGATTTTTGTAATTCTGTTATTTGCAATAGATACTCTAAAGCTCTGGTTTATAAACATATTGCACATGTGACTGTACACATAAATCTTCCTAAAATATCAATTGTATTGTGATTAAAATGGGAATCATAATCTATTGTAAGTTATCCTCTTGAATAGGATACAGCAGTAATCTAGGAGAAATGTCTCTACAGGGATGTGCACTGTATGGACATACTGTAACAATGTCTGTCATGGCCTTGAGGTAAAAAACAAAGATTTAAAATGTTTAAGTCCTATCAAACTTTTATTTTTTATAGAAAGGCAACAGATTCTTTTTTGTACATGACAACATGGAGAAAATCTAGTTTCAATGAGCCTGTCCAGATTAAATTGCTAGTAAATGAAAAACCGTTTGTAAAAAACAAAAACAAAAACAAAAATTAAGAGCAAACAGTAAATATTGAAAAAATATAACTTAGATCAAATGTTGCATCCCACAGTCACCTACTCTTCTTAAAAAAATCACCTAAAAGCAACAGGGGGCAAAAAAAAAATACATAAAGTTACATTTGGCAAAAACAGAGATAAATATAAAAACCAATCCCCAAAAACCCTCAAAACTATAGAATGATACAAAGAATTTTCAAAGCAATAAAATAGAGAAGAGATAAATTTGAGAAGAATAGAGAAGAACCTATGGCAACAGGTATCAAAATCTAAGGTACATTTCAAACTTAACTGCTGCCCCTTCAGGTACAAGGCAAAATCCCTTGTTTCCAAAAGAGGAAAATACATACTTTTGCTTTAAAGACTAAAGTATTAGAGGCTTAATAAGTAATATCACAGTCAAGCCATATTTTCAGAAAGTGAAAGTTTCTGGGTCTTAGTTGTTGGTTGAGGTATTTGCATGGTGACCCAAATCTCTCTATATGCTTGGCTGAGATGTTTTGAAGGTAACATTGAATACATACTCAAACCTTTTTATCTTTATGAATTGTTCTACATGACTCAAAATATCTTGCACAGCTATCAACTCCTGCAATAGAAACTTACATATAAACTATTTATATTTATAAATAACTATTCTGAAAAATGGAAGCATTTATAAGACCTATAATAATCATAAAAACTACAAAAAGCTCAAAAATGCATGCAAATTTTAAAAGCAAAGACAATCACTAGAAAAATAATTACAAAGAATTTGAAAATATTGTAGCTAAATAATTCTCCATAAACATAAAGACAATCACCCTGACACATACCACTTCATCCCCCCATACACATACACACAGTAAAGCAGTTGCCTCTATGAGGCAAGAATACAAAGCAAAATTACAACAGCTTATGTAACAAATCTCATGGCAAAAAGGAAGAAATCTAGTATAAATGAAAAGAGCTCCAAAAACAGGTAAATGATATAGTCATAATACAAATGAAAGAGTCATAATACAAATGAAAGTAAAATTTTATGCTAAAAGAAGCAGAATAATTTTCCAAGTGGAGGCCGTATAAAAATATGAATGAGTAAATTAAACAAAATGATGTCTGGATGAAGAGTTAAAAATAATTAGAAAACAGCTATCTATATTTTAAATGTCTAAAGAAGCTCCAACATATGCCCCAAAAGGAAACTGTTAAAATAACAAAATAAAAATAAAATAAAAAATTCAAATTTAAATAGAAGTCTTAATGTACCATTAAAATGGCACATCGTGTTTTAAAATCTAAAAAAAATAATATACTTTACAAATAAAAAAATTTTTTTGGAAAATCTGGCAAAATAAACTTTTATTCAAAAGGTGAAAAAATGGAGACTAGCATCGAAATTTTCTGTAGCAAAATTCCACAATGGAATACAATAAAATAAAATTTGCAAATATACTGAAGAAAAGTGTGACCAAATCATTTTATACCTAGGCACACTTGAGTTTAATAAAATGATTTAGACAAAATCAGTCTTGACCATGCAAGAGTCATTGACTCCTTTTCCCAGGTCCTAGTAAAGTAATCTAATAGGGAGTAAACATAAATCCCGTATGGCCTCCAAGGCCCTTCTGATGCCTCTCTTAATATCTTTCCTACTACCTCTTAACCACTTGTTTAGCTCCAACTGCACTTGACTCAGCTCTTCTTTAAGCATGTCAGAAATGCTTCTGCATTACAGCCTTTGTCTTTGCATTTCCCTCTATCTGAAATATTCTTCCTCCAAATATCCACATAACTTAGTCTTTCACCTCCTTTAATTCTGTTTAAGGCCACCTTTCCAAAGATAATTTTCCAGGTAGCTCTATTTTAAATTGCATTCTGTGACTCTTCCTTTATTATTCTCTACCCCCTTTCTTTTATTTATTTTTGATAATATATTCATTACCACAGTACTTATTATCTTTACCATGTTATACTGTTTTTATTTTATTTATTGTGTCTCACCTCCTCACTAGAATGCAAGAAATTTCTGAGCAGGCTTTTTTTCCCATTTTATTCATGAGATTTTTCAACTTACAGAACAGTATTTGAACATTGAGCAGTGCAATAAATATTTCTTGAAACAAGAGATGTCTAGAAAATGTGGTGTAAAATGCCAGTAAACATTGAATATACTCAACCAAGGGATTACTGAGGGACTATACTAAGCAGTCTGTCAATAAGGATCAGTTCTAATTATACAACAAAATATAAATGTTATGTACTAAATTGTTCTCCCCCACCCCCACAATTTATATGTTGATATGTTGAAGCTTCAACCCCCACTATGACTGCATTTGTAAATAGGATACAGTATTAGTCCGTTTTCACACGGCTATAAAAAAATACTTGAGACTGGGTAATTTATAAGGGAAGGAGGTTTAACTGACTTACAGTTCCACATAGCTTGGGAGGCCTCAGGAAACTTACAATCATGGCAGAATGTGAAGGGGAAGCAAAGACCTTATTCACATAGTGGAAGGAAAGAGAAAGTGTGCAAGAGTAGGGAAAACTGCCTTATAAAACCATCAGACCTTGTGAGAACTCACTCACTGTCACCAGAACAGTATGAGGGGAACCACCTCTATGTTCACCTCCCACCAGGTCTCTCCCTCAACACCTCGGTATTAGGGTTCAAGATGAGATAGATTTGGGTGAGGACACAAAGCCTAAACATATCAGATCTGTTAGAGATAATTAAGCTAAATGAAATAATAAAGATTTTGAATATGATTTCATAGAAGTAGTATCCTTATAAAAAAAAAAGAAGTGATGCCAGGGATCACTCTGTCCACATGCACAAAAGAAAGGCTACATGAAGACACAAAAACAAAAGCGCCATCTATAAGCCAAGAACAGAATCCTTGCCAGAAAGCAAATTTTCTGGCATCTTGATCATGAACTTCTAGCTTCCAGAATTGAGAAAACAAATTTCTGTTGTTTGTGCCACCTGGTCTGTGGTATTTTGTTATGGAAGACTAAGCAGATTAATACAATTAAGTATATAGTCTCTTACATATAATGTCATATTAGTACAGGTAGGGAACTAATATAAATGAGCAAAGGGAAATATTAAGTTAATCAAAGTAGTTACTGGTGCATGGTAAGGGCTATAATGAACTAGAGACAGTCAGCACAGCTTAATGGGAGAAACATACATAATTCGGGTTAAGCAAAATTAGGAATTATGTCAAGGTGTGTTCAAAATGTTTTAGAAAACAAATCCAGATATTTATATGAAATCTCTTGACTTTTAAATTTGTACAACTAATTCAGATTCTGTTTTTCTTAAACAGTAAAAACTGAAAATGGCTGAATGTTGGAAGATTCTGCTAACAGTTTCTGACATTTTTACTATGATGCACATTAAATTCAATACAATCAGCATGACCAAATAGACTACATCTTGAAAATGACAAGAAAGAAGAACATTAAAACAATACATTTTTGAAGAAAAGAGAAAATAAAATTTTCAGGATTAAGCTTAACCTCATTTCTTTTTTACATGTTACATCACAAGACCATGAAGCAAAAAATTAATTATATTTTTCTCTATGTATCTGTGCTTTTTTATATCCATCTTCTCACAGTTTAGTTAAAGATCACAAAAGGAAAACCTACTGAAGTAAAAGGAAATACACATGCATTTATATTTCATTAAGAATTAGGAGCTAATTTTGTAAAAAAAATACATTTTACAAATAAAACATAAAATATATGTATTTTAGTTTAATATTCTTATTAATTATACTGGAACAAAATGGGAGAAGAAAGTAAATTTAAAAATTAGAGATATAATAATAATACCACAAATATCTAATGAAAAATCCTGAGAAATGTTTTGATACTTTTCATGTGACTTTTTCAAACTTTAAAAATGGTAACATGTGTGAGTACTATGAAAATTTTTATTGATATGTAAAGGTAATAAAAAGAGAGTTCTCATGCACAAATACCTGATAACAAAAGCTATCATAAAAGATTTCAAAAACTGCACCTTGCACAAAAGCCATCACAGCCTTACACCAAAAAATACTCCTGTAAAGACATCTGCCCAACAACTGCCAGTCCAACCTCAGATTGGCACCACACTTATTAGTGATCCCTATCACTGAAGCTCTTTATCTAAAACAATTGTTATCCTCCTGATCGTTTTGTTAAAAATCTTTGTCTTCCTTTACCTTCCTGATTATGCACGTAGTTTACTATGACACACATATTCCTATTGAAATGCCCTATCCCCAAATAAATATAAGATGAAATGATATTTCATCTTATTTTAGAGAGCTTCTTTCTTTTTGTTATTTAGATTGACACACATAGTGTCCAGAAGCAGGCCATGAAGCAAGATCACATTCAGAAGAAATCAGCAATTACTGGGGCTGTGGTGCAGTACCCACATGAGCCCTTACAGCTCTCCACTTCCACAGATTGCCCTTTCTGCCCTGGTGAATCTTTTCTCAGGGAAAGACTTCTTTTTGTTAGAAGGTTTTTTAAACTTTGTTCAGGATTTGTTTTGATTATAAGGCTACCTTTAATAAAGGACCTTACATTCCTCCTAAGATAATAAAAGATTATTTTATCTTCCCTGGAAAGTTCTTTCTTATGTAAACACAAGTGTCCTTTTGGTTTGAGTGCTCTAGTTTCTACAGAATTTGCATTCTATGAGGCATGTCTTTTCTGGTGAATTTACTTTTGTTTCTTTTTGCATGCCTAATTTAATATTTTGTTTGATCTTTATGTCCGGGTTACAATTTTTGTGAGCACTCTGATTTTGGTTTCATTTTGATTTGATTGCATGCATCTGCAAAATATTCAGCTCTTTTCCCTAGCTACTTTCGGGAAATCTAAGAGCAAAAATAAGTATTCTAAATGGTGGACCCGGGATGGCTCCTTAAAAGCCACTAGGACAGTTGCCATCATCTAAACACTGGTTCAAACTTCTGACATTCAGTGACAGAGTTTATATAATTTTCTTTGCTTTCAAGCAATTACATAAAATGTAATGAGAATTTCAAACATTAAGATCTGCCGAGATCTCTGGGACTCAAGTTAGCTACATAGATTTTTCTTGTGCACATTTTGGGTCAATGACCATCTTGGGGATTACAACTCCCCAAACTTTTTGATTCTTGCTATCCAATTAAGAGACTACAACTATAAATTAATATGTAGAACCTAAGTTTTCTCTTTTTTGTTGTTGTTGTTGATTTATCTGCTTACTTTGAATTTGCTGACTCTTCTCCAGATGTTGAGATAAAACTTACTGCTCATGGCATTCCAGCCAATATAAAAAAATAAAAAAGAAAGTTTTTGAGGCATTTTCAAATCAATGGCTTTCCAAATTGTAACAACTTAAATACCTTTTGGAAAGGTACATTTAGGTTTTCCTGGCTAATAATCATGTGGGGGTGACAGAACAGTTCACTGAAATGTTAATAGTCTAAAATAAAAATGACTAAAGAAATGCTTATAAAAGTTTTCTCAGATAAAACCGGTAAAAATCTTAAGCCCAGAGCAACAATTAAAATATCTGTGTTCAGCATACAACTTTTGGTTTTTCTGTCATGCAAGTCACAGAAAAACAAAATAAAACAAAAAAGCTAAAATGCTTTCCTGACTGCATTGACTAGTCAAACAACTTTTTGGCAAACAAAAAATTGATTTTATTGCTAGTTCAAGGGTACTTGGAGATTTTGTTTTTTCTTATACAATTCTGCCAGTCCTAGCTAAAATGTCAAAAATGAAAATTTAAACTCATTTGAAACTAAAAAAGGAGGAAAAAATGAGAAGGAGATTTTTAAGCCAAACTGCTTTACCCAAAACTTTAATCTACAGCCTTCATCAGATTACCAATCAGGGCAAAAAAGAAAAAAAATTAACCATATGAACAGATGTCTCGTTTAGTCAGAATTGTAATTTGGATTCACCTATTTTTTATAAACCATTATGTTTGTGCTACTATCTCATGACTAAAAACCTAAAATGAAAGCTATAAGATTTTTTTGTACATATGAATTTAGCCATGCTTACACATATTTGCATGTATTATGTTGTATATTGTGTCCACAGGGTAAAATCTGGTATAGTCAGTCAGAAATAAGTAAGAAATTTGATTCAGATTTGCTTAGGTAAATAAATGCTCATATAAAAATATATATTAATTAACCCCAATGCATTTTAATTTATGTGACTTAAGTGAATCTCTGATAAATATGCTGATTTGTAAATTACTGATAAAATAAAAACAGAAATGTCATCAAATTTTTCAGCATACATGTTTGCCTGAATTTACTGCTCAGATAAGATAGTATTTATCTCTGATATTTATTTTAAAGTTATAAAACTAGAAACCCAAAATAGAATTATCTTTATTTAACACTTTCATATGTAGTATTAATTTAATATTATTTGTTTAATAAAAATATGTGTACAAACTGAGTGATCAGCAAAGTAACTATGTATTTAAATTTAGAGTTCTTACAGAGATGAACAACTGATCATCACTGGCTATAAAAGTGATTAGCAGGGAAATGACTTGAAAGGATGACTAGATTTGTCTAATGTCTCAATTTTCATAGGTAATCTGGGTATAATTGTTAACTGTAAAAAATAAATAAATTAGGTAAATGTAAATAACTTGGAGATTTATAAGTAAACTTTTAATGTAATTTGAAATTATATGTATTTTTAAGGTAAATTAAGTGATAAATTTTCATTAATGTCTGAATCATTTCCATATAAGATGTATAAGTATTAAAAACTAAAACAAATTGTTGAAAATAAATGTCTTCCTTGGCTTTTAACATTTTATAGAAATACTAAATGTATTTGAGACTATTAGTACATTTACAAATTATGTTATGAAGAAACATATTTCTAAAATTATAAAATCATTCTTATCTAAAAAATACTGATGTTTGACAAATGTTAAAAATTGCTTTCTTCCTCAGTTTTTACTAAAAATTAAGGTTACTAATTAAAATTCTAATTTGTAAAGAAAGTGTGCCAAAAATATAAGCTGTGTTAGAATTCAGCTGTGCTGAATTAGAATATTTATTATTACATATTGTGTATATTTATTGTAATATATGTATTGTGTGTGTATATGTGTGTGTGTGTGTGTGTAGGCACCCCACACTGGAGCCACACACATATATATAAAGCAAATATTATTAGAACTATAGTATTGGTATAGACCCCAATACTAGGTGGAGACTTCAACACCCAACTTTCAGCATGGTACAGATAATCCAGACAGAAAACCAACAAAATAAACATCAAACTAAATCAGCACTATAGGATAAATTAACCAAATAAATATTTACATAACATTTCACCCGACAACTGCAGAATATACATTTTTTCTTCTCAGCCTGTGGATCATTCTCAAAGACCATATGTAAGGCCATAAAACAAAGCTTTAAAAAATTTAAAAAAAATGAAATCCAATGTCTTCTCTGACCACAATGGAATAAACCTAGAATCCAATAATGAAAGAAACTTTAGAAACAATAAAAACATATGGAAATTAAACAATATGGTCCTGAATGAGCATTGGGTAAATGTAGAAATTAAGAAAATAATTTAGAAGATTCTTGAAACAAATGAAAATAAAAACGTAACATACCAAATTATGTGGGATACAGCCAAAGCAACACTAACAGAAAAGTTTATAGCAATCAGCATCTACACCAAAAAAGTTAAAAAAAATCAAATAAATATTTTAACAATGCCTCCTAAAGACTTAGAAAAACAGGAGCAAACCAGTCTCAAAATTAGTAGAAGAAAACATACAAAGATCAGAGCAGAAATAAATGAAATTGAAATGAAGAAAATAATACAAAAAAATCAGTGAAATGAAAAGTTTTTTTTTCTAAGAAGATAAACAAAATAGAGAAACCTTTAGCCAAACTAATTAAGAAAAAATGCATTGAAGACCAAAAAAAATAAAATCAGGGATGAAAAAGTAGGCAGTATAATTAATACCACAGAAATTCAAAGAATCAATAGAGACTACTCTGAACAACTATTTGCCAAAAAAAAAAAAAAAACCTGGAGAACCTAGAACCTAGAAGAAATGGATAAAGATTGAAATGGTAATAGACACCTCCAAGCACAGAAAAGATTAGGAACTGGTGGCTTTAATGCTGAAGTTTACCGAACATTTAAAAAAAGAACTAATATTAATCCAACTCAAACTATTCTGAAAAATAGAAGAGGAGGGAATAGTTCCAAACTCATTCTATGACTAGTATTATACTGATACCAAAACTAGACAAAGATACAACAAAAGAAGAAAACTACATGCCAATATTCCTGAGGAACATTGATGTAAAAATTCTCAATAAAATACAAGCAAACCAAATCCAACAACATATTACAAAGATCACCCACTATTACCAAGTGGGATTTATCACAGGAATGCAAGGATGGTTCAATATACGTGAATCAATCAATGTGATACATTATATCAACAGAATGAGCATTTACACACACCATATGATTATTTCAATTGCTGAAAATCATTTGATAAATTTCAACATATTTTATGGTAAAACACAGAGAATGTACCTGGGTGGTCAGGGGTGAGAAGGTAGAGATCATTAGTGAGTACAAAACTATACTCAGAACCAATATGATCTAATATTTGATTGCACAAGAGGGTGACTACAGTCAATAATTTATTGTACATTTTAAAATAGTTAAAATTATAATTGGATTGTTTGTAACAAAAAAAGGGATAAATGCTTGAGGTCATAGATACCCCATTTACCCTAATGTGATTATTACATATTGTATACCTGTATCAAAATATCTTATGTATCCCTAAAATATTTACACCTACTATATACCTATGAAAATTTAAAGTAATAAAAAAAGAAAACAAAGGGAGTTACTGGTTGTATTACTTTATTCTCACACTGCCATAAAGTACTACCTGAGACTGAGTAATTCATGAAGAAAAGAGGTTTGATTCACAATTCTATAGGCTGTACCAGAAGCACGACTGAGAGGCCTCAGGAAACTTACAATCATGGCAGGAGACAAAGGGGAAGCAAGAACATCTTTACCATGGCAGAGCAGGAGAGGGAGTGAGAGTGAAGGGAAATGCCATACACTTTTAAACCATCAGATCTCATGAAAAGTCCCTCCTATCATGAGAACAGCAATAGGGAAATCTGCTCCCATGATCCAGTTAAGCCCCACCAGGCACCTCCCTTGAGATATGGGGATTATAATTCTACATGAGATTTGCGTGAGGACGCAGAGCCAAACCATATCATTGGTGTTGAGAAAAAAACTGATTAATAAACCCAGAGATGGCTGTGAAGAGAGAGTTCTGATGCACAAATGCCTGACAATAAGAACTATCACAAAAGACTCTAAAAGCCACAACCCTAAACAAAAGCCATTACCACCTTAAACAAAAAATACTTCAAGATCATCTACCCAGCAAGTTCTAGTACAACCTTAGACTGATCAAGTTCTAGTACAACCTTAGACTATATTGTTATTGATCTTTGCAGGCAAGGATAATTATTTCAAAATTATAATCCAATCCTCCTCATTTTTTCTTTAAAAACTTTGACTTCCTTTACCTTCTTGAATATGCACATAGTTTACTATGGTATGCATATTTTCATTGCAATGCCCTATTCCTGAATAAATATCATTTCCTTTTTGAGAGTTTTTCTCTGTTATTTAGGTTATAAGTATATATGTTTACAAATCCTAACTCTATAGCAAAAATAATGTTGCAAATTTAACACTTTAACAAAACTTTACCCAAATCAAAAAATGCATCATTCTAACAACTACAGAGTAGCCCTAGTATCAGTTACTGTCCCCAAGGGGCTTGTAACACCACACAGTTACTCAGCACCTGCTCTGTTATATCCAGCTCCTTGTGCTCAGCATTATTCATGTCATTCCGTGTAAAAGACACTATAATTAAATTCCACTATTTAAAGTATCCTTAAGTAGGAATTTCAACGATTAATGTAACACATGTACTTTATGGATTTTAAGAATATCTCTATTAGACACCTTTAAAAATAGTGTTTTGATTCACAATCATAGTTTCCTTCAAAATTACCTAACAAGTTGCACAAAATGAAAGAGTAATATGCAACATTCGTGTTAGATTTCATTGCTTTTGAAGATTTGCAAGTCCTGATTTTTAATTGTTTTTAGCACAATTTTAGTTGAGCTTATACTTGCACACAATATTTTATTATAAATTGAATACAATATTTTTATTGAACTGTAGCTTTATCATTTAATATTGATAACACTTGACTATCATCATCTCAGAACAGCACAGTTTATATAGCATATACTCTAAACCTTCTAAAAACAAGACACATATTACACTTACATTTAATTAAAGGAAGTGTGCTTCGCACTCTGAATACGGTTTCCTTCATCAAATAAATTGCAACCAATGTAAAAAAAAGACTATAGCTTTTTGCATTATTTGTCTTTCTTATTACATTTCTTTAATTTTAAAATGTTCAAAGAAGCAATATCTGGCAGATGTTAATATTTCTTATGGGATGGTAAAAGTTTAACTTCCATTAGTAGATGGATGTTAATACCTTAATTTATTCATCAGTAATGAAATAACACCTTTCGTATAAAGTTTATGAGAAGATCAAAAGAGAGATACATGACAAATATTCTGTAATATTTCTAAAATTATGACATTTAATTACCCGTTATAATTTATATTATAATGGGAATCGACTATTACAATTAAATGTTGAGGATAAACAAAGATACAACTTTTTCAAATTAATATTATTGAGACATTTTATAACACTATCATGGCAGTATTACTTCCAAAAAGATCTTGGAAATAGTTATAACGAGAAAGTATATATTATTTGTGTAAAAATAAAAGCATTTTTGCAAGTCTCAGTCTTTCCAAAGCTATCAGTTTTGATGCCACAGAGAGAAAATTATCATTTTAGGTGGCAAAACTGCTATCACAGATG
The DNA here is from genome assembly GCF_000001405.40 of Homo sapiens. Classification (NCBI taxonomy): domain Eukaryota; kingdom Metazoa; phylum Chordata; class Mammalia; order Primates; family Hominidae; genus Homo; species Homo sapiens. The sequence goes on along the minus strand of NC_000003.12, from coordinate 162,991,802 downwards.
AATTCTGAAGAAATAAGTATTCCTTTTTTATGCAGATATCCTCTGCAATGAAGAATGAGGGAAACAACTTACATAAGTTATGTGTAAGCAGATTGGTTTCTAAATAAAATTTTTCAAATTCTTACTGAGATGTCAGCAGCTGCTATTTGAAAATGAGTGACTACTTTCAATATGCTACAGTGGAAATGAATCCCTCAAATTAAAACTCGAATTGCTTGTCTCATCATTAATACATGAACTATTTGGATACTATAATAGTTGCTGTCCACAACTGGACTAAACAAGAAAATGTAAGTACAAGAATTCAAAACTCCTAATATTATTTCTTTTATTCTATAGTCTTCATATAAGATGAGGCTATTGCTTATTGCTTAAAATTTTGCATGCACAGCAATGATATTTAGTAGTCACAATCAAGTCAGTCTGTTTTGCAAAGGGACAGCCTGAATCACAACAGGCAAGAGGCTAAGCAAAGGTGGTTTATGCTTTTAGGTCAGTAGAGAATTCTGACACCCCAAATTTTTAAGAATATCCCTTATGCTTTATTCAAATTCCACCTACAGTCTAACAACATGTATTACTATTCTAACCCTTGTCACTTTTATTTTTTCTAAAAATTTTTTATCTTTCCGCTTATGGATTGTTACGGTTTGAGTCTTCCCTCAGAAACACGTTGCAATTTAATTGCCATTGTGACATTATTATCAGGTGAGGCTTTCAGAGGCGATTTAACACTTTTATAAAACAGATTTTAGGAGTGGGTTTTCTCTTTTGCCTTTCGAAAGATGCATCATGAAAGCTCTAAGCAGATGCTGACCTCTTGATTTTTGACTTTCCAGACTCTAGAACTGTGAGCCAATTAATTTCTGTTACCCAGTATCTGGTACTTTACTATAGCAGCAGAAATGGACTAAGACATGGCTTATATACGACCCTGAATTTTTCGTTTGTTATTTATGGTATAAAATATTAGTTTTCAAAACAACTGAAGCATGTACAAATCAAAACAGAATTGTTGTGTAAAATGTTTTTATTCTTCTATTCTTACTGTAACTAGTCAATAAAACATATTATTTAAGAAGAGATTATCTTTAAAATAACAAACAGAGGGTGCTCTATTTAGGCATTGCTTAATTGTTGGTGTCCCCTCAAAATTTATACCTTGAAACTTAATCCCCCGTGCAATAGTATTAAGAGGCAGGACATTTAGAAGTCGATTAGATCATGCGAGTGACGATCTCAAGAATAGTATTAATTCCCTTATAAAAGTGGGGCTGTTTTGCACTTCTACCATGTGAAGACACAGAAGGTCCTGTCTATGAGAAACAGGTCCTCACCAGAACACTGAATCTATTAATGCCTTTATTTTGGATTTTCAAGCCCCCAGAACTGCAAGCTACACATTCCTTCTATTTTTAATTTTTTTTTTTTTTTTTTGTAGATTACCAGGCCTGAAGTTTCTGCTATAGCATGTCCTGTCTCTGGACAAACCATGCCAAACAACTTCCCAGGAGCCTTGATCTCCACAGCTGTCTCCTTTCTCTGCGAAGTCCCCAGGTGAGCTCATCCACTCCTGCCACTCCCGCAACTTCCATCTCTGCCCTGATGCCTCGGCCCAAATTGGCTATGACAGGGACAGGTGTTTCATTAGTTGTTCAAAGCTCATAGTCTATTGATTATAGATTCAAAGTAGTCATCAAAAACAAATAAATGTTTTGAAGTTTATAGAGATACTTTTTCTGGATCAAATGTCAAAAAAAATTTGCAGTCCTTAAGTTTTTATTTCAAGATAGCTTTTCTTGTTCCTGACTTCACTTTGTTAGGCATTTTCCAACCTTGTAAGTAATTACATGGCTCATAAATACATCATGCATTAAAGTTATTCTTAATTCATATTTAATATTAAATAAGTAGCATTCTGTCTTTTTAACTAGTCTATTTTATTCCAATTTATACAGAAGTCTGTATTTATTTTATTATTGGAAATTACTACATTTAAAGTGATTGGTCCATATATTTCTACATTTACCACCAGCATATCATTCTAAATTTTATTCAGAATTTAGTTTTGGCTAAATTGTATCCCTCCAAAACTTACCTGTTGAAGTCTTTATCCCCAGTAGCTCAGAATGTGATTATATTTGGAGGTAGGAGTATTAATGAGGTAATTAAAGTAAAATGTAGCTACATGTATAGGTCCTAATTCAATATGACTGATGTCCTAATAAAAAGCGATACTTAGGATATAGACAACACACATACTAAAGGGTGACCATATAATGTCACAGAGAATAGGTGGCCATTTTCAAGTCAAAGCAAGAGTCCTCAGGAGAAATCAATCCTACCAATGCCTTGATTTTGGACTTCTAGGCCCCAGAATTCTGAGAAAATACCTTTCTGTGTTTTAAGTCATCCAGTCTTTGATATTTTGTCGTTGCAGCCCTGGCACACTAATACAAAATTTCACTACCATTTTACACAATCAATCCTATCTACCTTTACAATCACATTTTTTTTTTTACTTCCCAAGCCTAATCAATTGGGCTGGTATTATTTTTTCCCCATGCTATATATAACACACAATTAAAATAAATTAGGTAAAAAGAGATATATATATAAAAGGAGACTTTTAATTCTTAAGATTTGGCCAGATCTATTTTCTGTATCTCTTTACTGGGTAAGATATTTAAAGGTATGATACAAAAAAATAAATTGGATTGGCTTATTTAAAAGTCACATCAATAATCTTTCAAGGTATATAAAAATACTAATTAAAGTTAATAAACATCATTTCAAATGTTATAAACTAACATTTTTCCTTAGGTCTTCCTTCTTCAGAAAAAGTTACACAGTATTACTTTATTAATGACCTACTTAATTGAATATTACATGTGAGTTTGGGCTTTTATTAATATAACTAAAATTGCATAAGATAATTTATTATGATAACTAAAATTGCTTAAGACATAAAATTTATTACATGTAAGAAAAACTTGTTTATGCTATATTTCATCAAGACAGCAGTACCCCTTAAACACCACATGCCATGGAAAAAAATATATATATAAAATATAAAAATATTCCCACTTAATGCTCAGTTTATTAAAATTCATTTTAATAATATATTTACATATTTTATATTATTGATATATGTAATAATTTATATATAATGATCAATTTTCATAAGAAACTGAGAGTCAAATGGGAATATTTCCAACTCTCAAACATAATCATTTGATGGCTTGCATTTATGACTATTTTAAGAATCTCATCATTGGCCAGATTTTGAGGAAATCTTCATGGGTGCCCTGGGAAGTCAAAATGTGTCTGGAATTGGTGGGTTCTTGGTCTCATTGACTTCAAGAATGAAGCCGCGGACCCTCGCGGTGAGTGTTACAGTTCTTAAAGGCGGCCTGTCCGGAGTTTGTTCCTTCTGATGTTCGGATGTGTTCAGAGTTTCTTCCTTCTGGTGGGTTCGTGGTCTCGCTGGCTCAGGAGTGAAGCTGCAGACCTTCGCGATGAGTGTTATAGCTCTTAAGGCGGCGCGTCTGGAGTTGTTCGTTCCTCCCAGTGGGTTCGTGGTCTTGCTGGCTTCAAGAGTGAAGCTGCAGACCTTCGTGGTGAGTGGTAACAGCTCATAAAGGCAGTGTGGACCCAAAGAGTGAGCAGTAGCAACATTTATTGCAAAGAGCGAAAGAACAAAGCTTCCACACTGTGGAAGCCAGCGGGTTGCCGCTGCGGGCTTGGGCAGCCTGCTTTAATTCTCTTATCTGGCCCCACCCACTTCCTGCTGATTGGTCCATTTTACAGAGAGCCTAGTGGTCTGTTTTGACAGGGCGCTGATTGGTGCGTTTGCAAACCCTGAGCTAGACACAAAGGTTCTCCACCTCCCCACTAGATTAGCTAGATACAGAGTGTCAGTTGGTGCATTCACAAACCCTGAGCTAGACACAGGGTGCTGACTGGTGTGTTTACAATCCCCTAGCTAGACATAAAGGTTCTCCAAGTCCCCAACAGTCAGGAGCCCAGCTGGCTTCACCCAGTGGATCCTGCACCTGGCCGCAGGTGGAGCTGCCTGCCAGTCCCGTGCCATGCGCCTGCACTCCTCGGCCCTTGGATGGTCGATGGGACTGGGCGCCTTGGAGCAGGGGACGGTGCTCGTCGGGGAAGTTCCGGCTGCACAGGAGCCCACGGAGCGGGGGTGGGGGGGAGGCTCAGGCCTGGCGGGCTGCAGGTCCTGAGCCCTGACCCACGGGAAGGCAGCTAAGGCCCGGGGAGAAATTGAGCACAGCAGCTGCTGGCCCAGGTGCTAAGCCCCTCACTGCCCAGGGCAGGCAGGGCCAGCAGGCCGGCTGGCTGCTCTGAGTGTGGGGCCCGCCCAGCCCACGCCCACCCGAACTCCAGCTGGCCGGCAAGCACCCCTGCAGCCCCGGTTTCCGCCCGCACCTCTCCCTCCACACCTCCCTGCAAGCTGAGGGAGCTGGCTCCGGCCTTGGCCAGCCCAGAAAGGGGCTCCCACAGTGCAGCGGCGAGCTGAAGGGCTCCTCAAGTGCCGCCGAAGTGGGAGCCCAGAAAGAGGAGGCGCCGAGAGCAAGCAAGGGCCGTGAGGACTGCCAGCACGCTGTCACCTCTCAAAAACACACAGTGAAGGAAAGTATACTCTGGTCTTTGTTAAAGCGAAAGAAATGGATCTGAAAGAAATAAAAAAAAAATATTGCTGCAAGCTTATTGTCCTTTCTTAAGGTTAAAAAAGTTAACTCATTGTAATGTTTGGTTTTTATCTTCACATTTTAAGTATTTCTTTACCAAACATTAGCTGAAAATAAAACACCATGAGTCCTGGCTGGGGGATAACTGCTAACCCCGGCCTGCTGCTTTATTCATCTCCTGTCCCCTCCCCCACAGAAAACTCATTTACAGATATCAGGCCCTGACACAGCTTCCAATGACAGCTCCTATGGTTGATACAGTGGTTATCCCCTTCACGCATCCAGTAAATCTGGAAAGAAATTGGAGAGCCCCACCAAACTTTCCATTACCTGAACATGTAAATTTTCAAAAATAAGCAAGATTAGGGGTTATGGTTTGTTTCTTCTGTCTTCACGGGGAGATATGTGTCCTATGCCAAGGACCTTCCCAGGAATGTAATGGGGAGGTGGAGGGAAATTGAACTTCTGTGCCTTTTGAATACCAGTACATAGGTGACCATAATTTCCATAACTCCTAGTACCAAGATGAGAGGAAGAAATTAATGTTCTTCAGTTTTGGTTCTGAGATTACCATCACCAGTATCTTTGTCCAGGGTAGACTACGGGTGGGTCCATTTGGGACCCTACGAATCTCCATTGTTATGTCCCTTATTACCAAACATATCATTGATACATATTGTCTATGGGAAGTTCTTCTTTTCTTTGCCCCCGGTCTCTGACAGGAATCTTTGAAGTTGAGGTCATTTTTTGGGTGATTTGGAATACTGCAAACCAACCTGACTGTAGGCACCTAGTGAGAATGTCACTTATGGCTCCTCTTAGTTAACTTTTACCAGGATGGAATGGGATGCAAATACCAACCAGCCTCAGAAACCTGTCCCTTACCAAGAATAATAAAGCATGCACAGCACAACAGGCCAAGCTTCATGTGATATTACCATCCAGGTTACCGCAGTAAATGAGCCATACAATATTTTTACCGACTCATAGCTGTGACTAAACATTGAGGTGTTTGGTTGGGCCATTAGCAAGCCTTGGACTGGCATATAAAATAAGCTCTCTTATGGGAACAAAACATATGGATAAAAATCTGTTGTGCTTCTAATAAGCTTCTTGTTATCCATGTAGATGATCATCAGAATGTCTCCTGTGCTAAGAAAGGGGAAGATAACAAATGAGAATATCATATTTTTCAGCTAAATGCAGAGACTGGATTGCTCCCCACTGAGAGCAAGCACATGTGTAACCAGTTGCCTTCTGGGCCCATAAGATGTTCTTGGCAGATGGATTATTCTGGGTCCCTTATCCAATCCAGAGGGTTCTGCTGGATCTTGACTGGAGTTGACACTTTCTCCTGGTTTGGCTTAGTCCCTATACTTTCCACTAACCCTAGCTACATTATTGAGGCCCTAAAATATCTCATTTGTTTTCCTGTTTGGCTTCCTTGAACAGATTGTGATTGACAATGGTTCCATATCTGTGGCACAGGCAGTGGACGTAATCATGGGACATATCATGGGCTCTCCATGTTTCATATCACACCCCAGCCACAGTGTGGTCGAAACATTTAACGAACAATTAAAAGGTAGGCTTAAAAAGCTAAAAGGAGAGGACAAGATGATCTAAGCCTAGACCACATATCCCAAGTGAGCAGTCCTGGGCCTTAATGCAATAATTCCTAAAAGAGTACTTTTAACTTACAAAAAGAATGGAAAGAATATGTGCATAAATAATGTATTTTATAATTATATAATTAACTTTATGATTGTTTTTGTTTTACTGTGTGAATTTATTGTTTGAGATCACATGCTTTCAGTCTGAAGAACTTCCTATTTGTGTTATTAATAAGAAATATTAGCAACAATTAACTGTTATTGACAATGAATAAAACAGCTAGTAACAATTACTTAAAACTAACTATAAATAAGTAATTGTTAGTTTTTTAGCCTTCATTTTTGAAAGACAATTTTGCTGGATGTAAGACACTGCTTCATAGAACTTTTCCTTTTTTCTTTTGATACACTGAATGTGTCATTCTGATAGATGCAGGAGGAAGATAAGGGGGATCGTCCCTGGAGAATCTCCCACTGGCCTTCACGCTGGGAGAACAGGGTGGAGCCACAGGAAGTTCATGTCATTTGCAGGGGGAGGATCCTGGCTTCTCCCGTTCCCATGTGGTGACCTGAGATTCAATCTGTGAGCTGGGGATCTGTTAACAGGAACGTGTCTCACTTTGCTGAGAGGTTTTTTTGTTTGTTTGTTTCCTTTTCACACAATAAATTCTACTCCCCATCACCCTTCAAATTGTCTGCTTGCTTAATGTTTCCTGGTTGTGCTACAAGAACCTATTTTTGTTTGTTTGTTTTGTTTTTTCTACAACAACTCTACTACCTCTGCCTTCTACATTCCGTTACTTAAAATGAGACATGAGCTGTTAATCTTGGAGTTTCATTATATGAGTCAATTTTCTCTTGCCACTTTCAAGATTATCCTGTTGTTTTTGGCTATTGACTTTAAAAAAATAATGTTTTGGAGTGTGGATATCTTTGTATGTATTTATCCTACTTGGAGATTGATGAGCTTCTTGGACATGTAGTTTTCTTTCGTTTTTCATTTAATTAATTTTAGAAGCTTTTATATTTAAAAAATATTTCTGCTCCTTTGTCTATTTCTTCTCCTTCTGATATTCCCACCATACATTCCCACTAAACATATACACTGGTATTAATGGTATCTTATATTTTGAAGTCTTTTTGTTCATTTTTCTTCATCTTTTTTCTTTGTTCTTCTAAATTACATAATCTCATTTGATCTGGCTTCGAAGTTTATATCTTTCTTCTGCAAATTCAAATCTACCTTGATGCCCTTTCAGTAATTTTAAAATTTCAATTGTTTGTATTTTTCACCTTTAGAATGTATTTGGTGTTTCCTGTAATTTCTATCTCTTTTCTTAATATTTTCTATTTCAAGTGGCATTGTCATTATACCTTCTTTTACTTTTAAAAGCATAAATTCCCTTAGTTATTTGAACATATATATAATAGATGCTTTAAAGTCTTTGCCTACAAAGTTTGGCATCTCATCCCTTTCAAAGATACTTTTCTTGCTTTACATTGACATTCTGGAAGTCATCTCTTCAGAGAATAATTTTTGTAGCAAAAGGAAATAATTAGTAAATTGGATATGGATGAATGAACAAAGTAAATAATTCAAAGGTAGTCTAGGAAGGCAAAAATTTGAAGAAAAATTATTAGACATAACATATAAAGGGATGTACAAATATTTTCACTTTGAGTAGCAGAGTACAGAAGGGGGTTGAAAAAGAGGTAGTATTTTATAAGATAATGTCTAAAAAGATAAAAAGACATAAAAAGACTAAATTATAATAACTTTTTATTTTTGGAAATAACCCAAACTTTCATTACTAAATTTTCTAGATTTCAATTTATATAATTTTTGGTTTATAATGTTACTATTATACATAGAAGTTCTAAGTACTAAGAGGAAACTGACCTAGCTTCTGGTTATTTCCTTTCTTCTTTGTCTCTTTCAAACTTCAAGTATTTCAATTAGCCACCGCAGTAATATGGTTAATTACTTTGGCCTGTACAGAAACATCTTTCTTTGCTTGCTGGTTAAATAGCATCAATGTATCCAAATTATGATAGTCTCCATTTCCAATTTAATAAAAATTGTTCTTTGTCAACATCTATAATATTCCTTCTTTTGTTTTTTTAATCAACACTTTTAAACTGGCAAACCTTACATTTCTAGAAATAATAGACAAAAATACACTTTCATTATCTGGTGTATTTTGGTTATGGGAGAAACAGCATCATATATTGTTTGATACCTTAAATCATACACCAGATTGTAAAATAGAGCCACTGCTTTGTCACCCAACTTATGTCATCACTAAGTTTTCAGTAGTAAGACCTGCTGCTTCTGGGTGATAAAAAGCATTGTAAAAGTAATGAGTTTCATGTAAATTAAACTGTTGCTGAATTTTTTCTTTAAAAAATGTTTTTGTTCAGAAGAAAAATGTACAGAATTGTATGATAAAATCGTATAGGTCACTATACTACAAAGCTAAAGTAACCAAAACAGCATGGTACTGGTACCAAAACAGATATATAGACCAATGGAACAGAACAGAGGACTCAGAAATAACACCACACATCTACAACCATCTGATCTTTGACAAACCTGATGAAAACAAGCAATGGGGAAAGGATTCCCTATTTAATAAATGATGTTGGGAAAACTGGCTAGCCATATGCAGAAAACTGAAACTGGACCCCATCCTTACACCTTATACAAAAATTAACTCAAGATTGATTAAAGACTTAAACGTAAGACCTAAAACCATAAAAGAAAACCCTAGAAGAAAACCTAGGCAATACCATTCAGGACATAGGCTTGGGCAAATACTGCCTGACTAAAACACCAAAAGCAATCACAACAAAAACCAAAATTGACAAATGGGATCTAATTAAACTAAGGAGCTCCTGCACAGCCAAAGAAACTATCATCAGAGTGAACAGGCAGTCTAAAGAATGAGAGAAAATTTTTGCAATCTATCCATCTGACAAAGAGCTAATAACCAGAATCTACAAGGAACTTAAACAACTTTACAAGAAAAAAACAAACAATCCCCATCAAAAAGTGGGCAAAGTATATGAACAGACACTTCTCAAAACAAGGTATTTATGCAGCCGACAAACATATGAAAAAAAGCTCATCATCACTGGTCATTAGAGAAATGCAAATCAAAACCACAGTGAGATACCATCTCACTCCAGTTAGAATGGTGATCATTAAAAAGTCAGGAAACAACAGATGCTGGAGAGGATGTGGAGAAATAGGAACACTTCTCAACTGTTGGTGGGACCGTAAATTAGTTCAACTATTGTGGAAGACAGTGTGGCAAGTCCTCAATGATCTAGAACCAGAGACAGCATTTGACCCAGGAAACCCATTATTGGGTATATACCCAAAGCATTGTAAATCATTCTACTATAAAGACACATGCACATGTATGTTTATTGCAGCACTTTTCACAATAGCAAAGACTTGGAATCAACCCAAATGCCCATCAATGATAGATTGGATAAAGAAAATGTGGCACATATACACCATGGAATACTATGCAGCCATAAAAAAGAATGAGTTCATGTTCTTTGCAGGGAAATGGATGAAGCTGGAAACCTTCATTCTCAGCAAAATAACACAGGAACAGAACACAAAACACCACACGTTCTCATTAATAAGAGGGAGTTGAATGATGAGAACCCATGGACACAGGGAGGTGAATATCACACACCAAAGCCTGTCGAGGGTTGGGGCAGCAAGGGGAGGGATAGCATTAGGAGAAATACCTAATGTGGGTGACGGGTTGATAGTTCAGCAAGCCACCATGGCACATGTATACATACCTATGTAACAAACTTGCACATTCTGGACATGTATCCCAGAACTTAAAGTGTAATAAAAAAAAGTAAAATAAATGTAAATTTGATTAAAAAGACAGAAGCTGGGGATTTTGAAAATGAATATGAATAGTCAAAAATAAAAAATAAAGAAATTTTTAGGTGATGATGAAAATATGTAAAAACAGCTGATTTGGTTAGACTTGCATAGCTAATATATTAGGTCAGCTAGACAAAAATTGACACTTGTGAAAATACATCCAACTTTTTAGCAAATACCTTCCTACAATTTATTATTATATTTTTTTCAGTTCATTTAGGTGCAATAATGTGTTGGATTAATAACAGTAAAGGAAAAATGTACATTTGCATTATTAATGTGGTCTTTCCAAATCCGGCACCTGCCTAATTTTTACCTCCCAAAATATTTTCACCTCCTATACAATGGCTAAATCGTTTTTGGAATGTTTAATGTGATTTCACAAGTTTATGTCTTTCCAGATGCTGATTCCTTTACCCATTTTCTTTTAAACTCAGCTGTTATCACTGCAGGAATATTTCCATCTCACCATCTAGGGTACACTTTCTGCAGTCTCATGGTGCTCAGTTTAAGTCTTACATTCTATCTTAACATTTGTAAGCATCTCTTTAATTTTTGTGTCTGTACTTTCTTTGAGGCAAAAGCAGTTTTACTTATCATCACTTTCCCATAACTTTTTTTAGTTGACAATTGCTTAGTGAGGGAAGGAAAGGAATGAAGGATGGAAGAATAAAGAGCAAGAAAACAAAATGTAATTATATAAAAATTATATTTCTGTGCCTTTGGGCAAAGTCTAATTCACTGAAAGAAACACTAGTCTGAAGAGTAAGATACTAAGTAGGGTTTCACTCTTTATTGTGTGACCATTCCCTAAAGGACATAAATGTACTCTCATCTAAACAAGCACATGACCTCATCTTAACTGGATTAGGCTGGGCTTTAAATCCAATGACTGATGCTTTCATAAGAAGAGAGAAAATTTACCCAGAGACACACACAGAGGAAAGACAGCTGTAATACATGAAGACAGAGGCAGAAATTGGAGGGTAACAGCTACTAGCCAAGGGATGTTGAGAACGGTCCTTTATGACCAGAAGCTAGGGAGAGGCAAGGAAGGGAGTCTTTTCTAGAGCATGCAAAGAAAGCATGGCCCTGCTGACACCTTGACTTCAAACTTCTATTCTCCAGAATTGTGAAAAGAAATTTATGTTGTTTTAAGCTTCCCATTTTGTCATACTTTTTAACTGAAGCTCTAGGAAGCATATATTCAGTTATATATATTTCTCTGCTATATGACATCCATGTTCAATTCCTACTCTTCTCATATTATTAATTTTACCTACAAACTATGCAGCTATAAAACTCTATCAAATAAAAGTGTGTGTGCATGAGTGCATGTATATGTGTGTATTTCAAACATGTTTTATTTTAGATTTGGCCACTGGAAGCAAAGAGTACTGTGGTTTCCTTCCCATTCTTGTGTTTATTCACATATAACAAACATAAGAGTGTATAAATTGAATTTTTATCACAGGTTCTATAAAAGCTGTTAAAATAAACTGATATGCCAACATGAATAACTAAAGCAATGAGGGATATTATAAGTGAAAATGATATGTACTATAAAATTTATAGTATCTTTCTGATGTCACAATAAACAAGAACTCTCTTAAGACTGCAATTACTTATTGTTTTCCTATTCAATATCAGAAAGTAGTTCCATCAATGTTGAAATCATCTCATATATAGTTTTAGTATCTGAATGACCTTCCTTTTTTTTTTTTCTTTTAAGGGTGGCACATGAAACCTTTGGGCCTTTCCAACTTTTTTTGCCTTTAGATGTTTCCCTTTAAGTTAAATCTTCAACCCCAAATAGCTTCTGCACTTTCTCATAAGCCATTTTTTACTCTATAGGGAACTGACATAGCAGGTCTGACCTTGGTTTCAAAGAATATTGAAAGAAGAAGATGGGGTGGAAACTAAGTAAAGCAATGTGAAGGCTTATACTATTCAAGGTCAGGGAAAAATAAAGCATAGTGAATTTAGAGAGTAGTTAGGCCTAATTTGTTTTATGTTTGTTTTAAGGGTCATCTGTTATGCTCTCAAGTATGTAAAACATGTATGCTCCATGGAGAGAAGTATTTTAATCCATACTCTAGAGTAGTTATGCATATATATACAAATGCACACACAAACACACACACACACACACACATATATATATACACACACACATATATAAATACATATATATGTGTATTTATTCTTTGGAAATTTTTAAATTTCCATTTCTAATATTTAATATATGACAAAATGTACACATAATATATCATATAAAGTGTTTTTAAAATAAAAATTGAAAAACTGACAACTATTTATTGATTATACAGTAATGTAAATGAACTGATAAGCTTTTTTGCAATAATGAGGAAAGTTCACATTTATTTTTCAAAATCGAATTTTCTATGATACAATACTTTATAATATACTAAATATGCTTAAATAGGCATGCTTTTATTTCCTACTAAGTGAAGGGAAATGTATGTAACTTTTTAAAATTATTCAGGAAGCATTTTGTATCTTTTAACTTTCTTTATTAGAATATAATTATTGGTGTTTGTGTCTGGGAGATTCAAATATGAACTTATATTTATGTGTATCAAAGTACTACAAGCAAGGTTATAACTAATTTCCCTCTGTTAATAAAATGGGTCAAAAGGTGATTTTATAATATATGATGCCTAGAACAAAGACAATATAATATGAACTTAGAGGTAAGGTTGTATTGCAATATCCTATATTCACACATACAAAAATTATGTACTTCCAAAAGCTTTGATAATTCTGATAAATTCAATATTTTAGACATCATTATTTGATGTGGAAATCTAATAAAACTCTAATATTATTATACTTGAATGAAAATGTCACAGGATATTGACAAAAGCAAGCAATAACTTTTTCTGAAATGTTGTTTTATAAAGCAAAAAGATATAAAATATATGAAAAAATTAACATTTTAAATTTAACATTATATTGTATAAATATATTAAGTTGCCAAAATTCCTTTGTATTCTAGTACACATTATTTTAAAAGTAAAATCACTGAATTTATTTCTACATTATAGAATATAGAAAAGCTATAATTTTATGTGTGTCTTAATATTAATTCTCTTATTCAATTAATAGTACTCTAGAGATGACTAAAATAAAACTGAAGCGTAGTTAATACATAATAAAAGTACATAATACAGTGACTAATTCATGACAGAAGTTGCGTAAGGTGCTTTGGGAAACTTATATAGACACTGATTTCAGCCCAGGAAACAGGGAGGCCTATCTGAGAAAACTTCCCTTGGTATTTCCTATTAAAGATAGTAACATGAATAGGCAAGGAAAGTTATTCTAAAAGATGAAGAATGATGAATAAAGTTCAAATGTATGAATAGTGGAGTGTATATAACAAACTACAAGGAGATCAGAGACCTGAAAATCTAAATGATAAAACATGGTCACTTGAAACAATGTGGGTGAGATACCTGAAAATGCACTTACATGAAATTATTTTGAATAGGTCATAGAATCACTGGAAGTGCTGAAAAGTTACCCTCAATGTTAAGTGTCCAAAACTGGCAAAGAATAGTTTTTGAATACTCCTTGAGTGTAGTCTGTATAGTATGCACAACACTGACTTCTTTGCACACCACTGAACAACCTTCTCTATAAGTGACTACTAGTTAACTTTTATATCTGTGCTCCTCATAATCTATTTGGGTTAAGTGTCCAAAACTTTCATAAAATAGTTTTGAACACTCCTCGAGTGTAGTTTCTGTAGTATGCACAAAACTGAATTCTTTAGCAACATTCTTCTAAGCGACTACTTGTTAGCTTTTTTATCTGTGCCCCTCATAATCTCTTTCATTCAGTCTCTGTTTCTCTCCTGGACGGTTTTAATAAGCACCTAGCAGTTTTCTAGCTTCCAGTTTTTGACACTTGAAAAATATCCTATAAAACCTGTCAGAAATATATTTTCTAAGTTTATTTCCAAATATCAATAAATGTAAAAAAGTTATTAGAAATAAACTTTATCAAATAATATGGAAGTTTCACTTGTAGGAAAGAAGCATTATCACAGTTCAAAGGATATAAATGATATTTGAATAATTAATTAGAAATAAATATAGTGGCCATGGATTTAAAATTCAGCATCTTAAATTATCAGTTCACACTAACTTAATTTGTCCATTCAATGAAATCCCAATAAAAATAGAAACAACACATGGGAAAGATAGTTGACCAACTGAAGATAAAACTCAAATGGAAAATTTGAAAACAAAAACAACAAAAAGTCATAAAATTAATAAGGTTAAAATGGAAAAAAAAGTAACAAAACTAATATAAACAAAGAGAAAGTGAAATGAGACTTTTAAAACAGAGAGACATTTTTCTAAGAGGAAAAAGGGCTTTGCAATTTCATATAAGAGATGAACAATCTAGTATATGAAACTTTGGAAAGGTTTTGTGCCAGACACTTTTGTATTCTTCCAATAACAATTTTCTCTACTGTATCTTTTTAATTTGTTCATAGCTCTCACTTCAGAATTACAATATTTTATTACAATAATATAACTGCAGTATAATTAAGGTCTTTTGAGACCCAATGAATATGCACTGTCATGTAAACATGAGCATAAGAGAAAAAATATAATTGAGATGTAAAACTGTAATCATTTTATCTAGAAAAAGACACATGCACATGTATGTTTATTGCGGCACTATTCACAATAGCAAAGACTTGGAACCAACCCAAATGTCCATCAATGACAGATTGGATTAAGAAAATGTGGCAAATGTACACCATGGAATACTATGCAGCCATAAAAATGGATGACTTCATGTCCTTTGTAGGGACATGGATGAGGCTGGAAACCATCATTCTCAGCAAACTATCTCAAGGACAAAAAACCAAACACCGCATGTTCTCACTCATAGGTGGGAATTGAACAATGAGAACACTTGGACACAGGAAGGGGAACATCACACACCAGGGCCTGTCGTGGGATGGGGGTAGAGGGGAGGGATAGCGTTAGGAGATATACCTAATGTAAATGAGGATTTAATGGGTGCAGCACACCAACATGGCACATGTATACATATGTAACAAACCTGCACGTTGTGCACACGTACCCTAGAACTTAAAGTATAATTAAAAAAAAAAAAGAAACTGATGAATTGATGAGAGTAACTTATGATTTAAGCATCCAAAATCTTTCCTACTCATAGCTGCTCCCTCAAAAATTCTTCTGTAGTCTTCGTTCAAAGTTCTCAATAAAATTCAGCCTCTATAATTTGTTAAATATCTTCCCTCTATTTTTCATTTATGTTTCTTACTAAATTTCTATTTTTTATATTTCTATCTCAGACACCACACACTCACATATATATACTTTTAAACAGAAAAACATAAACACAGATACTCATAAACACACACGCACACACACACACACACACACACACACACACACACACACACAGTTTTTTGTTTGCCTTGCTGCTCCTTGGAAACTATAGTCTATTCTGCCAGTTACTTATTTTTTTTTCTGTCAATAATTAGCCTTTTTTTTTTGCAGAAAAAAAAGAGAGAGACAATGTAGTGATAAATTACGTTTTTTAAGAAAATACATCCTTGTGCATGCACGCAGCATAAGGGTGTAGGGTGGGGGGACGTTTGTGGGAGAAGTCATGTTGAGGTGAAAGGAAAAGTGGTGAATGTTCTGCGTTAATTATTTTTGTCCATGTTGCAATTATTTTTGTGTTTATGTCTCCCAATAGACTAAATTACCAAACAACAGCTACAGGCCTTATTTTTATTTCCTATTCTTTCATTGCTTAGCATATTGCCTGTCATTTAGGAAATTCTATGGGTACTGAACAAACAGACAAATAAATATGAATAACAAAATAACTAAACAAATGATAAAATTAATTAGGGGAAGTGCACTGCTATGATTAAAAACAAAGACATAGATTAGAATCTTGTTTGTCACTTAAAACATTGTGTTGCTTTGGCCTAAGTCTTCAACTTCTCTCTGACTCTATTATTAAGCAGAAAAATAATGTGAAAGTTATATTTATTGTTACAGTGTTACTTAAATGTTTACAGAAAATATTTCATCTCACCAAACAGCCAGAGCTGAATAAATTACTGTTGATTTTATTGTTTTTGGTGCTATTATTCTATGTTCCACTCTTAAATGGATGATAGAAGAAAATGCTTTCAAAAGAAAAATAATTTGGATAAGATATGACAAATGTGTATAATATGTAGATTAGTAATTTGATTTTTGAAAGGTCTCTATACCTTGAGTCCAAAGTAAGGCTCATATACAAACATTGTGGCTATATAATTTCTTCTTCTGTAATTTTTAATGACATATTTGTAACAGATATTTCTTCTGTGAGGACAAACTTTACACAAAATGTAAAATGCTTAAAATGTTTTAACCACTCAGTTACAATTTTAAGCTTACTAACATGAATTCAGTTTTTGTATATAATAAAATTAGTATTTTTTCCAATAAAATATTATTTATCTCACAATAATAAAATTATTTCCATATACCACGTTTTAAATCAATTTTAGTTTTAGTTTTAATATAAGTAGTTATTTTACTTTTTCACAGTCAATGTGATCTGAGTATAATATCTTCTTCTTTTAAAAAAATCATATTATGAAAAGAAGTGTTATTCAGATTTCCTGTATCTTTCCTTCTTCAATGCAGTATTCCAAACTGTAGCTCAAGGTCCTCTGCCTTGTCACTTTTTCATAATTTACTACTCTTAATTCAATTCAGTATATACTGTCCAACTCTGTGTATTTAAGTCTTCATTTCCTTATGAAGGCTTTTGTGTCACAAAATTTGTATTAAATAAATAAATTCATATGCATTTATCCTGTAGATCAGTCTTATATCGATTTAATATTCAGGCTCACGTGAAAAACCCTAAGAGGGCAGAAGTTATAGTTTTGCCTCTGCTACAATATTATCAAATAAAAATGCAAATAATAATGAAGTATTACATTTGGCCTCCATAGTAGAAGATAAAAATATTTGCTTTATTTAAAGAGTATGCCTTAATGATGTCAAGTCAAATTGAATTAAAATTATACACACACATCTTTTATATATATATGTATATAATGTATATGTATACATGTTTTATATATATAATATGTATATATAATGTATATATAATTTTGCCTTATATTTAAAACTAAGGCTTTTTATATAGCATTTCATTTGTTTTTCTGCCATTTTAATTTTTTTTGTGCGGTGTTTGCATATCATATTTTTCATTGCTTGAAATCTCAGAAAAATGTACTTGATCAAGTTCTCCTTTTCCTGAAGTTCTCTATCCTCTTACCTCAATGTGGATGGTTCAATGTCTATGTTCTACACAAGGAGTGTTGGCATTCCTTTCACTTTTCTCCCGGCTTGTATCTGCTGAGGACATTTATAATTTTGGTTCACAGTCGTGTTTTGCTGCACCACTTCTTCAAGCAGAAACAAGGCACTGAAGGTAAAACCTTTGTGGAAAATTATTTTGTCCATATCTAATTTTTTCTTTCACTGTTTTGTTTGTTTTAATAATATATCGTGAGGTTTGTACTAAAAAAGTAAAACTAATTTCTATTTAAATCGTTGCATTTTTTTTCTTACAGGAGAAGAAACAAGTAAACATGTTTTTAGTTAATACAATAATAGGAAAATAATATACCAATGCTAAAAGACCTCATAGAAAACTTCTACTTCACCATCCCACTAATGTTGGGCATGACCATTTGACTTGTTTTGGCTGATAACATGTGACTGAAAATGAAAGTATAATTTTTGAGCATGGGCCCTAAACAGTGTTCTGTATCTCTACTTAGATCAGAGGAGCTTTCAATCTTTACCATCTAAAGAAGATTCCCATGGCAACTACTGACCCTCCAACAGAGCTCCTGAATTAGACATGTAGAGCCAATCTGCCTCAAATAATTCAGTCAGGTAATCTGGAGCAGAGTCTACTTAGCTAAGCTGAAGACCCAGAAGCTTCATATGTACTTGTTGAACAACTGCTAGTTTTCAGGTAACTTTTTAGTTGAGTTATATCCATAAACTAACTAATAAAACTTATTTTTGAATGTGTTAAAATATTTTAATTCCGAAGTCAAACTGATAATTTGTCTTCTAAAAAAATTTGAGGTGAAAAAAATTTATAATGCTGAAAGTATTGCTCTATTATCCTTCAGCACCCAGGGATGTTAATGTCTCCCAAATGTCAGAATTCAGTCTTATAGGCATTCTTTGGAGTTGACTTGTTTCTTTTTCTATACATATTGGAATTTCTCTTTATCCTTGGCATTGTAAAATTTTAATATATCATATTAGAGTTTTCTTATTAATTGTGTTTAGCAACCAGTGACATTATCAACTTAAGTCTTTTAGGATTCATGCACTTCATCTTATATGCCTTTTTTGTTTTTATTCAATGAAAATGTATGCTTTTTCTATTGAAGACTATAATTTTGATACAATAGTATGAATTTTATACTAGAAGCAACTAATTTCAACTTAAATATGTTTTCTTATATAAAGAAAAATACATAAACTACATATTATTAGTTAATGCAATAATAGGAAAATAATATACTAATGCCAAACATATATAGATTTATAGATTTACAAGTGAGTTTATGTTAAATAAGTTATTAGTCACAAGTTATAGAATTATATTAAAATATGGTATACAGAAAATAGAACTACTAAGATTGATTTTAATTTTATATTTTTAATCTAAGTAATCATTTGAAAATAGAAAGTTTTAAGTAAATAAAGTTAATACTGATATTATGATAGTTAATTTTACAAATTGTGTCATTTGTGTTATACCCAACTAAGAGCCAAGGAGCCAGGGAGAAAAAGCATTCAGGGAAGATAGTAAATGATCCAATAATTAATTTTTTCAGCTGTTGAAATAGGCTACTATAACTCCAAGATCGGGTGTACCTGGTAGCTGCTGAAACATGTTGGGACTCTACGACTGGTTTTACCTACCACTGTAAGTCACCAATCAGAGCTTGACATCTCTTTAAAGATATTCTAATGCCAATGAGCTTTCATTCAAAACAATGTGTAACATTTCTTTTTCTAATGAAACCACTAACTTTAGAAAATTTTTTGTGGTTACATATTAGGTGTTTACATTTATGGGCTACCTCAGATGCTTTCAAACAGGGATACAATGTGAAATAAGCACTTCATGGGGAATGGGGTATCTATCCCCTCAAGCATTTATCCTTTGAGTTACAAACAATCCAATTACACTCTTTATTTTAAAATGTACAATTAAGTTATTATTGACTATAGTCACCCTATTGTGCCTTCAAATAGTAGGTCTTATTCTTTCTATTTTTTTCTGTATGCATTAACCATTCCTACCTCACCCTCATACACCCACTACTTTTCCCAGAAACTAACCTTAATTCATTATTGTTTTTCTGATATACTGAAGACCACATTGGTCTGCGTTTGTCCTCTGAATCGCAATTCTGTGATTCCCAGTTAGAAGCTTTAACTTAGAGATTCAACTCTATATTTTGACTTCAACAATATGATGACCAAGACACATTAGAAAATTGAAAAAGGGGAATTTAAAGGTGATGATGATGTCATAACCATACTAATTTTAGTGTAATATCCTGAAAACACTTGAAAATATACTTACAAAAAAATAGTGTCATGGTCTCAGTAATTGCAAAGAATGGAGATGTGATGATACTTCTAGTAGTCTGTAAAGGAGAGAGATCCTTAAGGGTTGGTATAATACTCAGAAAAATTGAATGAGACAAAAAGAAAAGAAGGAAATTGGAAATTAGAAAACTAACTTACAATAAGCTTCTTTTTCTTTTTGCTTTTCTTTTTTTTTCTTTTTTTTTTTTTTTGAGATAGAGTCTCGCTCTGTCGCCCAGGCTGGAAGTGCAGTGGCGCGATCTCGGCTCACTGCAACCTCCGCCTCTGGGGTTCATGCCATTCTCCTGCCTCAGCCTCCCGTGTAGCTGGGACTACAGGCGCCCGCCACCACGCCCAGCTAATTTTTTTGTATTTTTAGTAGAGACAGGGTTTCATCGTGTTAGCCAGGTGGTCTCGATCCCCTGACCTCGTGATCTGCCCGCCTCGGCCTACCAAAGTGCTGGGATTATAGGCATGAGCCTCGGCTCCCGGCCTACAATAAGCTTCTTGATGCCATTTTCTTTTATGAAATGATACTAACTTGCAAATTACTGAAGTATAATCCAATGTTCTATTATTTGTCTCATATTAAATATTTGAATACATTACAAAGTAAAAATGCAACAATAATATTTATTGTCATTGCCTTGAATGACAAAAACATAACATAATGTAAAATCAACATTTTAAAATATCTTTAGATACTAGATCAAAAGAATTAAAACAATTAAATAAATACAACTGAGGTAAAGATACAATCCTGCAAAATAATGCTTGCAGCTATTTAGACATGTGGATTGGCTATAGCTTGATTATGAGCCAATAGTGTAAAGTAAGTGCAAAAAGACTATGGAAGTTTAGGAGACATTAATAATTACATGATTTAGAAAAGACAACATAATAACTTCTCTTATAGTAAGTCAGAGTCAACCGTCTCAGGATAACATAGTTAATTCTTGAATGTAAGAATTTAAAGGTACAAAAATATTAATGTTCATGATAATGTATGCCAAGCATGCTATGTTTAAAAAGGGCATTTTAAAAAAATCATCTTACATTGAGACCCAACTTATTTGCATAAAAGAATCAGAAAAAAAATCAAGTTTCTTTTTCCCCATGTAACACTGTAGTGTGATGTACTCAAGTATTAAATGACTTTGCTAAGATTGCACTTAAAAAAAAAAGTAGTAGTGGAACTCTAATTTATTAAGAAACTAAAGTTCATCTTGAAGAGAGCTAATTGGATAAAGAAGATAACATGTCTCTCAGTTTGTGACTCATGGGTCAAATCTCTATTCTCTAACTTCTAAACCATATTTCTTTGAGCAAGTTACTTATCCTCTTTGTTCCTTAGTTTTCTCAGCTGTCATATTGGTATAAATGGCTCCAAAGCTTTTAACTTGTGATAATTAGATAAGACACTGGATGTTTTATCCTTTGTCTGCCAGAGTAGCAGTTTCCACTCACATTATGTCTTTTCTGGTAAATCTTAATGCAGGTATACACTTTGTTCCTGCGTTCTTATGGACTGTGACATCTTCCAACATAATCTTTTGAATTATGTTGTGCTCTATCTCCTTATCAGGCATCAGAATTTCTACCTAGTTTTGATGATTGAGACCCAAAGGGATGGCTTTTGGGAAATAATTGTGTGGATTTTTATTTCCTTAATAATCAATGGTATATGCAAAAGAAAAGGTAGAAAAAAGGATCAGCTAAACAGCCATGATTTTAATTTCATCAAGGAAGAAATTGACATACATGGTAATCTGATTTATGGCAAAGTGGACACTACAGTGCAACAGGTAAGAGCATTCCTTTTATTTATTTATTTATTATACTTTAATTTCTGGATTACATGTGCATAACGTTACAGTTTGTTACATAGGATACATGTGCCATGGTGGTTTGCTGCACCTATCAACTCGTCATCTACATTAGGTATTTCTCTTAATGCTATCCCTCCCCTAGCCCTAACCCCTCAACAGACCCTGGTGTGTGATGTTCCCCTCCCTGTGTCCATGTGTTCTCATTGTTCAACTCTCACTTATGAATGAGAACATGTGGTGTTTGGTTTTCTGCTTCTGTGTTAGTTTGCTGAAAATGATGGTTTCCCGCTTCATCCATTTCCCTTCAAAGGGTGTGAATTCATTCTTTTTTTATGGCTGCATAGCATTCCCTAGGGTATATGTACCACATTTTCTTTATCCAGTCTATCATTGATGGGCATTTGGGTTGGTTCCAAGTATTTGCTGTTGCGAATAATGCTGCAATAAACATACGTGTGCATGTGTCCTTATAGTAGCATGATTTACAATCCTTTGGGTATATACCCAGTAATGGGATTGCTGGGTCAAATGATATTTCTGGTTCTAGATTATCGAGGAATTGCCGTACTGTGTTCCACAATGGTTGAACTAATTCACACTCCCACCAACAGTGCAAAAGTGTTCCTATTTCTCCACATCCTCTCCAGCATCTGTTGTTTCCTGACTTTTTAATGATTGCCATTCTAACTGACATGAGATGATATCTCATTGTGGTTTTGATTTGCATTTCTCTAATGACTGGTGATGATAAGCTTTTTTCATATTTTTATTGGCTGAATAAATGTTTCCTTTTGAGAAGTGTCTGTTCATATCCTTTGCCCAATTTTGATGGTGGTGTTTGTTTTTTTCTTGTAAATTTGTTTAAGTTCCTTGTAGATTCTGGATATTAGCCCTTTGTCAGATGAATAGTGTGAAAAAATTTTCTACCATTCTGTAGGTTGCCTGTTAATTCTGATTATAGTTTCTTTTGCTGTGCAGCTCTTTAGTTTAATTAGGTCCCATTTGTCAATTTTGGCTTTTGTCGCAATTGTTTGATGTTTTAGTCATGAAGTCTCTGCCCATTCCTATGTCCTGTATGGTATTGCCTAGGTTTTCTTCTAGGGTTTTTATGGTTTTAACTCTTATGTTTAAGCCTTTAATCCATCTTCAGTTAATTTTTGTATAAGGTGTAAGGAAGGGGTCCAGTTTCAGTTTTCTCCATATGGCTAGCCAGTTTTCCCAACACCATTTATTAAATAGGGAATCCTTTCCCCATTGCTTGCTTTCGTCAGGTTTGTCAAAGATCAGATGGTTGTAGATGTGTGGCGTTATTTCTGAGGCCTCTATTCTGTTTCATTTGTCTATATCTCTGTTTTGGTACCAGAACCATGCTGTTTTTGTTACTGTAACCTTGTAGTATAGCTTGAAGTCAGGTAGCATGATGCCTCCAGCTTTGCTCTGTTTGCTTAGGATTATCTTGGCTATACAGTCTCTTTTTTTGTTCTATATGAAATGTAAAGTAGTTTTTTCTAATTCTGTGAAGAAAGTCAATGGTAGGTTGATGGGAATAGCATTGAATCTATAAATTACTTAGGGTAGTATGGCCATTGTTAAGATATTGATTCTTCCTATTCATGAGCATGGAATTTTTTTCCATTTGTTCGTGCTCACTCTTATTTCCTCGAGCAGTGGTTCATAGTTCTCCTTGAACAGGTCCTTCACATCTCTTTTAAGTTGTATTCCTAGGTATTTTATTTTCTTTGTAGCAATTGTGAATGGAAGTTCACTCATGATTTGGCTTTTATTTGTCTACTATTGATGTATAGGAATGCTTGTGATTTTTGCACATTGATTTTGTATCCTGAGACTTTGTTAAAGTTGCTTATCAGCTTAAGTAGTTTTTGGGCTCAGATGATAGGGTTTTCTAAATATACAATCATGTCATCTGAAAACAGACAATTTGACTTCCTCTCTTTCTATTTGAATATGCTTTGTTTATTTATCTTGCCTGACTGCCCTGGCCAGAACTTTCAATACTATGTTGAATAGGAGTGGTGAGAGAGGACACCCTTGTCTTGTGCCGGTTTTCAAAGGGAATGCTTCCAGCTTTTGCCCATTCAGTAAGATATTGGCTGTGGGTTTTTCATAAATAGCTATTATTATTTTGAGATATGCTCCATCAGTACCTAGTTTATTGAGTGTTTTTAACAAGAAGTGGTGCTGAATTTTATCAAAGTCCTTTTCAGCATCTATTGAGATGATCATGTGGTTTTTGCCATTGGTTCTGTTTATGTGATGGATTACATTTATTGATTTGCATATGTTAAACCAGCCTTGCGTCCCAGGGATGAAGACGACTTGATCGTGGTGGATAAGCTTTTTAATGTGCTGTTTGATTCGGTTTGCCAGTATTTTATTGAGGATTTTTGCATCAATGTTCATCAGGGATAGTGGCCTGAAATTTTCTTTTTTTTTATTGTGCCTCTGCCAGGTTTTGTTATCAGGATAATGCTGGCCTCATAAAGTGAGTTAAGCATGAGTCCCTCTTTTTCTATTGTTTGGAATCATTTCAGAAGGAATGGTACCAGCTCCTCTTTGTACCTCTGGTAGAATTCGGCTGTGAATCTGTCTGGTCCTGGGCTTTTCTTCGTTGGTAGGCTATTACTGCCTCAATTTCAGAACTTGTAATTGGCCTATTCAAGGATTCAACTTCTTCCTGGTTTAGTCGTGTGAGTGTGTATGTATCTAGGAATTTAGCCATTTCTTCTACGTTTCTAGTTTATTTGCTTAGAGATGTCTATAGTATTCTGTGATGCTAGTTTGTATTACTGTGGGATCAGTGGTGATGATATCCCCTTTATGATTTTTTATTGTGTCCATTTGATTATTCTCTCTTTTGTTGTTTTTTAGTCTGGCTAGCAGTCTACCTATTTTGTTAATCTTTTCAAAAAAAAAACAGCTCCTGGTTTCATTGATATTTTAGAGGGTTTTTCATGTGTCTTCCTCCTTCAGTTCTGCTCTGATCTTAGTTATGTCTTCTGCTAGCTTTTGAATTTGTTTGCTCTTGCTTCTGCAGTTCTTTTAAGTGTGATGTTAGGGTGTCAATTTTAGATCTTTCCTGCTTTCTCCTGCAGGCATTTAGTGCTATAAATTTCCCTCTAAACACTGCTTTAGCTGTGCCCCAGAGATTCTGGTACATTGTGTCTTTGTTCTCATTAGTTTCACAGAACTTATTTATTTCTGCCTTAATTTTCTTTTTAACCCAGTTGTCATTCAGGAGCATGTTGTTCAGTTTCCATGTGGTTGTGCAGTTTTGAGTGGTTTTCTTAATCCTGAGTTCTAATTTGATTGCACTGTGGTCTGAGAGACACTTTGTTATGATTTTCATTCCTTTGCATTTGCTGAGGAGTGTTTTATTTCCAAGTATGTGGTCAATTTTAGAATAAGTACAATATGGTGCTGAGAAGAATGTATATCCTGTTGATTTGGGGTGGAGATTTCTGTAGATGTCTCATAGGTCGCCTTGGTCCAGAGCTGAGTTCAAGTCCTGAATACCCTCGTTAATTTTCTGTCTTGTTGATCCATCTAATATTGACAGTGGGATGTTAAAGTCTCCCACTATTATCATGTAGGAGTCTAAGTCTCTTTGTAGCTCTCTCATCAAAATCAGAACTTGCTTTATGAATCTAAGTGCTCTTGTATTGTGTGCATATATATTTAGGATAGGAAAACCATGGGGAAAGTGTAGTATCTGGGCTGGATAGCACCATCCCTCATGGTACAGTTCCTCACGGCTTCTCTTGGCTGGGGGAGGGAGTTGCCCGACCCCTTGCACTTCCCGGGTAAGGCAATGCCCCACCCTGCTTCTGCTCACTGTCAGTTGACTGCACCCACTGTCTAACCAGTCCCGATGAGATGAACCAGGTACCTCAGTTGGAAATGCAGAAATCACCTGCCTTCTGCGTTGGTCTCGCTGGGAGCTGCAGACTCCTATTCAGCCATCTTGCCAGCCCATCCAAGAGCATTATTTTCAAAAAGATTGTGTTAGGTCAATTCAGTAATATATATAAAAATATATTTCTTCTCTCATATTAAAAATAAAATTAATGGATGAATCACAGATCTCAATGTGAAAAAAATACATATTTTGGAAGAAATTATACAATGATATCTTCATGACTGTAAATAGGCAAACATTCTTAAATATGATGCAAACAGGATTTAGGAAATAGACCACGCCCTATGAGACAGTGCTATACCCTAGGAATAGAAGCAAACTTAAAATCAATCTGTTTCCAAAAGACCACAGTTAACTCTATTTATTCATCAGAAGAAAAAAAATAGCTTCTGTAGAGGAAGAAAACATTAACCATATTCTCTATAATTTTTGGTTCATAAACTCTGGTAGTCAAAAACATTTAAGTGGTGATAGTTTGGATATTTGTCCCCACCATATTTTATGTTAAAATTTGATCCCCAATATTGAAGGTAGGGCCTGGTGAGAGGTGTTCAGATCATAAGTGCAGATTCCTCGTAAAACGCTTTGTGCCATCTGCATAATGAGTGAGTTCTTACTTTATTAATTAGAAACGGCCTAGTGTCTCTCTCTTGCTGCTTCTCTCCCTCACCATATAATACCTGCTTCTTTTCACCTTTTACCATGGTGTGGAAGATTCTTGAGGCCCTCACTAGATGCAGATGCTGGCAACATGTTTCTTGTATGGCCCACAGAACCATGAGCCAGATAAACCTTTTTTCTTTATAAATACCCAGACTCTGATGTTTCTTTATAGCAACAAAAATTGACTGACTGAGAGAAGTGGCATCAGAAGAAATATGACACATTGTCTAGTGACTATATTAATAGAAATATATAGGATATTTTGTCATATATAACACATTATAAAAAGTAGAAATATATATATATTTTATATATATATACACACTGGAGAATGACAGGCCTTTTAAACAACTTTACCCTTACCACTTGTACCAAGACAACTTTATGCATCAAAAATACATTTTTCAATTGCTGGGTGCACTACTGCTAAAGTTTGCCTAACAACCTTTTAACAGAAAGTGTCAGAGAGGTTGTCCAGATAACCTCAACTTTTTCATTTATTTCAGAGAAACTTCTGTTTTTTTCTTTTTTTTACAAATTTATCTGTTTTTGTAATATGATTATATTAAATATACTTAGGTTGCAGTTAAAAACACAAGGTATATTTATTTCTTTAGTAGGATGATAAAAACAGTATTTTTTTCTACATTTTGCTTTCAATGTACTCTATTGCTTGTACAATAGGATACTAACTACATTGTAATTTATCATTACAATCATATATATTTCAGATAATGCCAGATCATGAAGTCACACTGCATTAACTTTTCCTCTGTAAGTCCCTATAGGTGAATTATAATGTAGTCTTTTGAAAATTCTGAAGGAAGACTATGGAACCTGGAGGAAATCTTTTGGCTTATTACTAAGTTCTAATAGAGACTGAATTCTTGACCATAGCCTGGCAAGCTATTGTGTAATCAGAACCACCAAAAGTAGACTAAGCGTTGCCTGACCCACTAAGCATAGCAGTGTTCCATCATCAAATGTAAGCAATGTATACAAAAATTGGCCTCAAGCAGGATGTGAATGCACAAGTAAGTTGTACAAGCAAATGAATCCATGTGTCATGGCCCCTAATGTGGCTAAGTTGCCTTTTTTTTCTCTCAGTCCAGACTTACGGCTTCATATTAATTTCCCTGTAACCAGTGACTGAAGAAGAAAATTATTTAAGTATTGTACATGCATGGTCCTATTGCAGCTCTTTTCCTGCATCACATTAAAAGACAGCGGTTAAAGAAAAGCATCTCAATGGAAAGAACTTTAAAATGTTCACCTGGTAATTAATTTTTCCAGGAAACAGAGATGGCAAAAGGAGCAAATCTGCATTGTTTCATAGTGCATAGGTTTCTTCCAGATAGAGAGATCGAAGGAAGATAATTGGGAAACTGGTGACAATGAGGTATATTTGTATCCCATGTGAATGCTCACTAAAAATCAAAGTCAATCTCTGCTTCAGCTTTACTATAACGGATTGTTTATTTTGTAACATGCAATTAGTGTTAAACATGGTAATATTGTCTTCCTGTAGTATACTCTGAAGAAAAGTTTTCTTTTTATTATTATTATTATACTTTAAGTTATAGGGTACATGTGCACAATGTGCAGGTTTGTTACATATGTATACATGTGCCATGTTAGTGTGCTGCACCCATTAACTCGTCATTTACATTAGGTACTTCTCCTAATGCTATCCCTCCCCCCTCCCCCCACCCCACGGCAGGCCCCAGTGTGTCATGTTCCCCACCTTGTGTCCAAGTGTTCTCATTGTTCAGTTCCCACCTATGAGTGAGAATATGTGGTGTTTGGTTTTCTGTCCTTGCGATAGTTTGCACAGAATGATGGTTTCCAGCTTCATCCATGTTCCTACAAAGGACATGAAGTCATCCTTTTTTATGGCTGCATAGTATTCCATGGTGTATATGTGCCACATTTTCTTAATCGAGTCTATCATTGATGGACATTTGGGTTGATTCCAAGTCTTTGCTATTGTGAATAGTGCCACAATAAACATACGTGTGCATGTGTCTTTATAGTAGCATGATTTATAATCCTTTGGGTATATACCCAGTAATGGGATGGCTGGGTCAAATGGTATTTCTAGTTCTAGATCCTTGAGGAATCGCCACACTGTCTTCCACAATGGTTGAACTAGTTTACAGTCCCACCAACAGTGTAAAAGTGTTCCTATTTCTCCACATCCTCTCCAGCACCTGTTGTTTCCTAACTTTTTAATGATCACCATTCTAACTGATGTGAGATGGTGTCTCATTGTGGTTTGATTTGCATTTCTCTGATGGCCAGTGATGATGAGCATTGTTTCATGTGTGTGTTGGCTGCATAAATGTCTTCTTTTGAGAAGTGTCTGTTCATATCCTTCACCCACTTTTTGATGAGGTTGTTTTTTTCTTGTAAATTTGTTTAAGTTCTTAGTAGATTTTGGATATTAATCCTTTGTCAGATGGGTAGATTGCAAAAATTTTCTCTCATTCTGTAGGTTGCCTGTTCACTCTGATGGTAGTTTCTTTTACTGTGCAGAAGATCTTTAGTTTAATTAGATCCCACTTGTCTATTTTGGCTTTTGTTGCCATTGCTTTTGGTGTTTTAGTCATGAAGTCCTTGCCCATGCCTGTGTCCTGCATGGTATTGCCTAGGTTTTATGGTTTTTATGGTTTTTATGGTTTTTTCTAGGGTTTTTATGGTTGTAGGTTTAACATTTAAGTCTTTATCCATCTTGAATTAATTTTTATATAAGGTGTAAGGAAGGGATCCAGTTTCAGCTTTCTACATATGTCTAGCCAGTTTTCCCAGCACCATTTATTAAATAGGGAATCTTTTTCCCATTGCTTGTTTTTCTCAGGTTTGTCAAAGGTCAAATGATTGTATATGTATGGTATTATTTCTGAGGCTCTGTTCTGTTCCATTGGTCTATATCTCTGTTTTGGTACCAGTACCATGCTGTTTTGGTTACTATAGCCATGTAGTATAGTTTGAAGTCAGGTAGCGTGATGCCTCCAGCTTTGTTCTTTTGGCTTAGGATTGTCTTGGCGATGCGGGCTCTTTTTTGGTTCCATATGAACTTTAAAGTAGTTTTTTCCAATTCTGTGAAGAAAGTCATTGGTAGCTTGATGGGGATGGCATTGAATCTATAAATTACCTTGGGCAGTAGGGTCATTTTCACGATATTGATTCTTCCTACCCATGAGCATGGAATGTCTTTCCATTTGTTTGTGTCCTCTTTAATTTCATTGAGCAGTGGTTTGTAGTTCTCCTTGAAGAGGTCCTTCACATCCCTTGTAAGTTGGATTCCTAGGTATTTTATTCCCTTTGAAGAAATTGTGAATGGGATTTCACTCATGATTTGGCTCTCTGTTTGTCTGTTATTGGTGTATAGGAATGCTTGTGATTTTTGCACATTGATTTTGTATCCTGAGACTTTGCTGAATTCGCTTATCAGCTTAAGGAGATTTTGGGCTGAGACGATGGGGTTTTCTAAATATACAGTCATGTCATCTGCAAACAGGGACAATTTGACTTCCTCTTTTCCTAATTAAATACCCTTTATTTCTTTCTCCTGCCTGACTGCCCTGGCCAGAACTTCTAACACTATGTTGAATAGGAGTGGTGAGAGAGGTCATCCCTGTCTTGTGCCAGCTTTCAAAGGGAATGCTTCCAGTTTTTGCCCATTCAGTATGATATTGGCTGTGGGTGTGTCATAAATAGTTCTTACTATTTTGAGATACGCCCCATCAATACCTAGTTTATTAAGAATTTTTAGCACGAAGGGCTGTTGAAGTTTATCGAAGGCCTTTTCTGCATCTATTGAGATAATCATATGGTTTTGTCTTTGGTTCTGTTTATATGATTGATTATGTTTATTGATTTGCATATGTTGAACCAGCCTTGCATCCCAGGGATAAAGCCAACTTGATCGTGGTGGATAAGCTTTTTGAAGTGCTGCTGGATTCGGTTTGCCAGTATTTTATTGAAGATTTTTGCATCGATGTTCATCACGGATATTGGTCTAAAATTCTCTTTTTTTATTGGGTTTCTGTCAGGCTTTGGTATCAGGATGATGCTCACCTTATAAAATGAGTTAGTTTTCAAATATGTAGGGTTTTAATGGATTGTGTTGGGTTTCAAAAAAATAAAAAATAACTTACAGCTTTTGACATAATCTGTACCTCTTTATAAAGGGAAATAAATGCAGTTGTTTACTTAATACAGCATAAAATTAACCATCTTTACCACTGTAAAAATGCTTGATGCACATGCTTTTGGCAATTAAAAAATGTGTGAAATTATGATGCTTGAGACTTCTTCTAGGTACAATATATGGCACATGTATGAGACGTGTGTATGTATACACAGAATGAGAGAAATACAGCATATATAGACCTTGAAAATATATGATATATTTTACATATATATTAGTTTAATATATACGTGTGTGCGCTTTACCTACAGTAGGCTTTAATTCTTTGCATAAAGGAAACAAAGTGAGCACTATCTTTCCCCAACTTTTGTGCCAATGAGCATTTTTAAAAACACACTACTACACTATTAGGGTGGTGACCAAAGTTCAAGGAAGCTGTGACACTGGAATTTGTGAAAAGAGTAGAGAAGAGGAAGCACTGCAGGTAAACAGCTTCAGAAATCTTGACTCTGGCAGAATATTGAGCTATGACGGCATGTTGAGAAACTTTATAAAGCTAGACAAAGAATAACTACAGATGTTACACAGGACCCCAGATCTTTTTGTTTGTGTTTTAATAAGCAAGTGAAAAACATAGGGAAATATGTCTATACTTTACCAGCATGCTTTTTTACCCCAGCTACCAGTTTTTTTTTTCAAGTTGTATGTAAATGAAGTGTCAATGGTGGCAAGAATGGAGATTTTCCATGTGCTGACCAAACCAATTTTTCAAGGCTTTTATGGTTACAACCCCTGCTGAGTTGGCAGAAATTAACACTGAGTTCCAGCTATGGCATCAGAGAGATCAGTTGGACATGGGGTAGCTGACTGATGGAAACATTATGGGAACATCAGATTATTTCCACCATGAAAGTTGTAGTATTTTGTGTAGATCAAAGTAAATCACACTGGAATAGATAATTTCATCTGTATGTCGGTTTTCCTTTTCTAATGACAGTATTTCTACAGAAACAAATATTTGTAGATGTACAGAATGGCTTATTCACCATCATGCTTGCTTCTGAAGAAGTAATTCTTGTTGGAGCAAATGAATCATGTTGAAGTAATTATTCTTTTGGAATTCACAGGCTTTACTGTGTTTCTAATCTGTATTAGGCTTCTCCAGAGAAAAACAACAAATAGTATTGTGTGTGTGTGTGTGTGTGTGTGTGTGTGTGGAGAGAGAGAGAGAAAGAAACAGAGAGAAAGAGAAATGGAGGGAGAGAGAGAGAGATTTAAATTAAGGAATTGGTTTACAAGATATTAATATTATGGAGGCTGAAAAGTCCGAAGATCTGCAGTCAGTAAGCTTCAGATTCAGAGGAGCCAATGGTGTCCTTCCAATTCAAGCCTGAAGGCCTCAGAACCAAGAGAGCAAATTGGGGTAAGTTTCAGTTCAAGTCTGAGTCCAAAGGCAGAAGAAGCCTGATGTTCCAGCCCAAAGACAGTCAGGCAGAGGGAATACATTTGTTTTTACTCAGCCTTTTAATTCTACTCAGCTCCTCCACAGATTAGATGAGGCACATCCACAATGGGGAGGACAATCTGCTTTTTTCAGTCTGCTAAATCAAATGTCATCTCATCCAGAAACACTCTTACAGACACACCCAGAATAACGTTTAAACAAATAGCTTGGAACTCTGTGGCCCAGCAAGTTTAACACGTAAAATCAACCATCACACAATCAAAATGAAGTATATGGCCTGATATATGGTAGAGTGGCCTTTAGAAATTTAAATTTTAGCACCAGCGGACTGGCAACACCTTTCTGAACTACTATATTCTAGGTTGTGATCGTTAAATAAATGACAAATAGATGGTGCTGGGATTTTTGTTGTTGTTTGTTTGTTGTTTCACAGCCAGAGTTAATGGGTCCGGGAATCTGAAAATGGAAATGCTAATCTAAAAATAGAGAGTATTTCTGCTCACTGCTACTTCCAGAGCTCTAAGAAAGAAATACATTTCTCTTTTCCATAACCATAATTTTAGGCTTTCCTAGCCTAGAGGCTTTATTTCTCAAGGAAAAAATACTTCCAATATGGGATACCAATATCTTTCCACTGAGTCTGTCCTCTGACTACTTTGGGTTCCCCAAGCCAACAAATCATCAAGCAGATTAGAAAGTGTCTGAACAGTTGGGCTGATTGGTTCTGATTGCTCCTGTATGATAGGGATAAGAAGAATGTAACGTGTTGAGGAAATGCCTTGCAGTACTGCCTAAAGACCTCAGGCCATGTGATGAAAGTCAATATATAACTGGAACTCCCCAACACAAGACAGATTGCCAATGGTCCAGATGTTTTAGAAATGTATCTTTGGGTCACCCCACCAAAAGAACCTAGACTAATACTTTCTAGACACAAAGGGAAAAAGAAATTGATAGTGGAAGAAGGAAGTTATACATACCAGCTACAGTCATGTGACAAATTATACAAATAATGATATAACAATTATGGGTATGCTTTTCTTATTTTTTATGCATTTGTGGATGTGTTTTCAATTATGTTATCTTATTCTACTCCTCTCACATATTTCTTCCAAATAATAATATGCTAAAATGTATTAGTTTCAAACAACTTCAATCTATTGAATCTACAGAAATCCACCACTGTGAAACTATTTATTGCTCATTTGAGACTTGCTTTTCTTCTCAATTTCTTGTCTCAAAAGCATGTCTCTAAATTAAATAGTTTAGTGTTTTTTTGTTTGTTTTTTTGTTTTTTTTTCCAGACGGAATTTCACTCTTGTTGCTCAGACTGGCATGCAGTGGCGCTATCTCAGCTCACTGCAACCTCCACCTCCTGGGTTCAAGTGACTCTCCTGCCTCAAGGTCCTGAGTAGCTGGAATTACAAGCATCCACCATCACCCCTGGCTAATTTTTTTTCTATTTTTAGTAGAGATGGCATTTCACCATGTTGGCCAGGCTGGTCTCAAACTCCTGACCCCAGGTGATCCACCTGCCTCAGTCTCCCAAAGTGGTGGGATTATAGGCGTGAACCACCACGCCCAGCCCTAGGCTTTACTATTAAATGTTTCCCAGAATGTAGAAATGGGCATCATATATCTAGAGTTTCAAGAAAAAACACTGAGAAATTATATATTAATAATAAAATAATGTTATTATAAAACTATAATGTAAATATTTACAAATGAAACTTCATTAAATTTGAAAGTAGCTAATTTGCACATGAGGATCACAACCATTTCAATGATAGTAAAGAGAGGTCTTGGAACCTGGGAATAATAAACTCTATCTATATTCAAGTAAGTGTATGGGTCTGATATTGCATGCTTAGAGGAAGTCTAGCGGTGTCTCAGTACTAAAATAAGAGGCAAGAAGGAGATCCAAAAAAGTCCAGCCAATAGATGACACCAGATAGTGCATATCAGAGACATACTCTAAAACCATCAGTTATTCAAAAATTATATCGGCAAATGAAATCAACAATGACTGACAATAAATAACAAAAGTTTTCTCACCAGGGTGAAATTCAGTGAATTAATTTTTTAAATATTATTTTATCTTCTTTCTGTAGCAACCTTGGAGTACCAGGATTATTTCCGAAATATGACACATTCACAAGAATACTGCATGTTTCTAGTTATAAAACTGAAGATCAAATTCAAATTAAAAACTGCTTTCATACACGCAAAAAATTATAACTTTGGTAATTTATGATGCTTGGTAGAAACTCCATTGACATATCATTCCTAAAATTAATATTGATTACAAACACACTTTTGCAATCAGTGGTGCTATATATTTAATGTTTGTGTGCTCTCCAAAATTCTTATGATGAAACCTAATCCCTAATGTAATGGTATTGGAGATTGGGCCTTTGGGAGGTGATAATGTCATGAAGGCAGGGTGTTCATTAATGAGAGTAGTGCTCTTATAAAAGGCCTCCCAGGGAGCTTCCTAGTCCTTTCTGCCCATGCAGTGTATTATTGGGACTCATAAGTCAGTATTCCAAAATATGGTGCTTTGGCATGCTGAATATTCTGAGGGTTTGAACATTCTAAGGGCCTCAGAAGCATTGTCTTTCTGACCTCCTGCTCTGCTTTCTTCCGCTTCCCTTTCTCCTCAAAGGTATGCCACAGAAACTAGAATTCTTTTTCTGCAGTGCAGGTCATAGAAGCTACAAATATCATTCTAACTTTCTCCCACCTTTCTGTGTAGAAGCTGGCCATAAAGAAATAATCTGGCCTACCTTGTCTGATGGTAGGTCATAAAACTCTCATTCCAAAAGGAGTCCTACTTTCTAACTGGGAGGAATAAATGCCACACAGAGAGACAAAGAAGAATCTGAACAAACAGGCATTGCTGGATTCCCCACTTGGTCTATTCCATTAGATCATTCTCTTTTGTCCAATCACATTTCTATATGGCTGTCCAATATTTATTGAACCTAAGCAAAAACAGACAGTTTTTCCTGAGTCTTTGAGTCTTTATTTCTGAAGGCTCCTATGCCCCATAAAACTTTGATTAAGTGAATTTGTTATGCTTTTCTCTTGTTAACCTGTCTTTTATATAGGAGTGTAGGCGGTGATCCTTTTAAGAAAGGTTTTACACCTTTTCTGTCCCTATGCTATGAATCAGGAAGTGGGTCTGCACCAGAAATTTCTTCTGTTAGTGCCTTGGTCTTGGACTTCTCAGCCTCCAAAACTGAGAAAAGTATCTGTTATTTTCAAAAGCAAAATGCTTTGGTATTTTTGTTATAGCAATCCAAAATGACTAAGACAACTAGCCTCAGACTATGTGCTGTATATAAAATTTTAGTTACAAATTAAGTGATTTAGTCTATGGTTATTGAAGAAATCAGGAGTCTTAAAGATAGAGTACTTACAAAATTAGACAGAACATGGAAAACAGAAAATAATCTATTTGAAAACTTAAAAAATAACAGTAAGTGTGTATTTATTTTCTTCTGGTTTCATAATGGAATATGTCCACCCTAATTTACTTTGTTTGGTAATGGTGACATTGAGTTTTCTGTAGTGTGTTACTTTTTGGAAAAAAAATCCAGCTTTATTAGAAACTGATAAACACTGTGATATACATTACAGTTTTTTTCACTGTGAAATAACAATCTTATGATAATGAACTTGTAGATCTAATATCTATTTATTTAAGGGCCTTTGGTGCTATTATATATATATATATATAACAGTACAAAGAGGAATATTAGGAAAGAACACTTTGTACTCTACACTTTCCTCCACATTGATACCTCCTATAAATTCTTGCCATTAAGATGAGGGATTTTGCCCATCCTAGTATAATTATGACATTCTCAACATAATGTTTTAGAAATAATGCCTTGTTAAATATATTCACCAAATATAAAATCTTTGGATAGACATTTTATTTTCAGATTTTGTCCAAGGCATAATCTTTCAGGATGTACAAGATACAGCAATATTATTTTAGATAAACCAGCAAAGACAGGTTATCAAAAATTTAAAATTATTCTATTTTTTGCTATTTTCTGAGTTAGAACATTTTATACCATTGTAAAATGTGCATAATTATAGTAAATGTGAAAAAAAATTAAACCTTATTTTTAGAAAAAGGTGTTGAACGTGAAAGGTTTTTATTGCTAGCTCCAAATTATTTTCGACTACAAACTATATTTATTCCCAGGGACTATTTAATTGTCAATTCTTAAAAGGAAAAATAAGGAAAAAATATAAAAAAGGAAGAATATCTGACAAAAGACAGCAACACATGCTACGGAGGGGTTTATGTATCCCAGGGACAATTTTCTTGAGAATGAAGGTGAAGTCATTTCTATTACAGGATAGGTTTTTGTATAACAACTTACAGGTTACCAATTGAGCAACAACAGGATACTTTCTAGGCACAGCATTTCAAGGACTGAGAAGCTAAGACCTATGGGAACTCTGCTTTGCAGACCGCATGTTTTTACCCAAGCAGACTCTGAAAATCACTAGCCTACCCAAGAAATTTCTCTACATCCATGGGAATCTTTATATGTGCAAACCTATAAGGCATTTTCAGTAATATACCATTTTCTTCTAATATTAATGACATTTAGTATTTTATGTATCAATTCTTCATTTGTTTCATTCTGTCAAATGAAAATGTATACATATTAATGGAAATATATAGTTATATTTGTAAGAAGCATGGTTAGTATAAAAGAATTATGAATATCTTTTTTCAATCAGGTTAGTTTTTTTCTTAAGCATCTAATCCCTTTCTTTTAGAGAGAGAGACTATATACAACAAAGACAGCATTCGTCTATATAAGTGCTTTTATATTTAAAAACTAAATTTCATATATGCAGAATAGGTTAAATCATCAGCTAGCACATAATTCAAGGGAAGCTGTACATGAAACACAAACTGTTAAGTAAAATTCTGACTTTGAAATTTAAGAAAATTGTGGAAAAATGTCCAAGACAACTTTTTTCTTATAGTCAGATTAATTTATGTTGAAATTGCCTCTCTAACCATCATAATTTAATCATAAATGAAATAAGGCATACATAATAATTTAGATTAATAAAAAAATCATTAATTGTATTTTGGAAAAATCAATTGTATTATCTATATATTGGGGCATTATTTTTCAAATTCTTGTTATTTTTGAATACATAAACTCTATAGGACAGATTAAAATCTAAATGTTTTTAAGGATAAGTTATTGAAGGAATTCAAAAATCAAATGAATGATAATAGGCACCATATTTTCTGGAAGATTCTTTAATTTGTTGCCATAGCAAACTGAGGTCTGTTTGTCTGGCACAGTAAAGCCAGACACTAATGCTGAGATTTGCAGTAGGAGAAAAAGACATTTCTTGCATGGTGCCAAGCAAGGAGAATGGGTAACTAACACTTAAGACCCAAACATCCTGATCGCTTACAAGCAAAGGTTTTTATAGACTGGAGTATACGTCAGGAAAGGAGGAGTTGCAGGCAACATTGTAAACCAATACATGGAGATTGTGCATGGGCTTGATCCATGAGTGTGACTCTCTTCAGGCTCTTCAGGAAGTAATTTAGAAAAAAGAATGGTGGTCAGAGTTCAGTACTCAGTTCCCCCTTATATAAGGTCTATGTGATAGTAATCAATATTTTCCATCTGGTAGGGGTTTCTGAAAGACAATTTAAGAATATATGTTAAGGTGCTATTTTTTAGTTTAAGCAGGGAACCAAAAACACCTTGTGACTGATTTGCTTGGAAGACTACTATTAATATATTCTTGCCTATCAGGTTGCTCACTTACTTTTCAGGGAGAGTTAAGTGCCTGGAATTTCACTTGAAGGGACTCAAGAGTTTTTCTTTGTTTCCATGCTTGTGGGGATCCAGCAGGTCCCCAAAAGTGATCCTTGTTTCATCTCAAATTTATGTCCATATATGGAGTATAAGAAAAGATTTTGTGTTCCTGTATTTATTTAAATTTCAATAGATTTTGGGGTAAAAGTGTTTTTGTTGTTGTTGTTGTTACGTGGATGAATTATATAGTGGCAAATTCTGAGATTTTATTATATCCATAACCTGAGTAGTGTACATTGTACATAATGTGTAGATTTTATCCCTAGACCTCCTTCCACCATTCCCCTGTGAATCTCTAAAGCCCATTATATCACTCTGCATGTGTTTGGGTACTCACAACTTAGCTCTTCTTTTAAGTGTGAGTATACAGTTTTTAGTTTTCCATTCCTGTGTTATTTCACTTAGAATAATGACCTCCAGCTGCATCCAAGTTGCTGTAAAAGGCATTATTTCATTCCTTTTCATGGCTTAGTATTCCATTGTGCATGTATACTACATTTGCTTTATCCACTCATTAGTCAATGGGCACTTAGGTTGGTTCCATATCTTGGCTATTGTGAATTGTGCTGGCATAAATACATGTGTGCCAGTGTCTTTTTCATATAATGATTTTTCTTTGTGAAGATACCCAGTAGTGTGACTGCTGGATCAAATAATAGATCTACTTTTAGCTCTTTGGAGAATCTCTATACTGTTCTCCATAGAGGTTGTACTAATTTACATTCCCGCCAGCAGTGTATAAGTGTCCACTTTTCCCCACATTCATGTCAATATCTATTATTTTTTGACTCTTTAAGAATGGCCATTCTTGCAGGAGTAAAGTGGTATCCCATTGTGGTTTTAATTTGTGTTTCCCTGATAATTAATGATAAGCATTTTTTCATATGTTTGTTGCCCATTTGTGCATCTTCTTTGGACAGACATGTATTCATGTCCTTCGCTCACTTTTTGATGGAATTATTTGTTTTTTTCTTGCTGATTTGTTTGCGTTCCTTGTAGATCCTGGATCCTGGTCCTATATCAGAGGCATGGTTTGCAAGTATATTCTCTCATTCTCTGGGGTATTTGTTTACTCTGATTATTATTTTTTTTTCTGTGCCAAAACTTTTTTGTTTAATTAGGTCCCATTTATTTATTTTTGTTTTTCTTTCATTTTCTTTCGGGGTCTTAGTTATGAATTCTTTGCCTAGGCTGAGGTCTAGAAGAGTTATTCGAATGTTGTCTTTTGAATTGTTATAGTTTCAGGTCTTATATTTAAGTATTTGATCCATCGTGAGTTGACTTTTGATAAGGTGAGCAATAGGGATCCAGTTTCATTCTTCCACATGTGCCTTGCCAGTTTTCACAGCACCATTTATTAAATAGGGTGTCCCTTCCCAATTTATGTTTCTGTGTGCTCTGTTGAAGATCAGTTGGCCATATGTATTTGGCTTTATTTTGGGGTTCTCTATCCTGTTCCACTGATCTATGTGCATACTTTTATAACCATACCATGTTATTTTGTTAACTATAGCCTTGTAGTATAATTTGAATTCTGGTAATGTGATGCCTCCAGATTTGTTCTTTTGCTTAACGTTGCTCTGGCTATTTGGGCTCTTTTTTGAGTCCATGTAAATTTTAGGATATTTTCTAATTATCTGAAAAAGAATGTTACATTTTTTATGGGAATCACATTGAATCTGTAGATTGCTTTTGGCAGTGTGGTCATTTTCACAATATTGATTTATCCAATCCATGAGCATAGATTTTATCAAATCTAGGAATCTTTTGGAGGAGTCTAGGATTTTCTAGGTATACAATCATGTCATCCTCAAACAGTGATAGTTTGACTTCCTCTTTTCCAATTTGGATGCTATTTATTTATTCATTAATTTATTCATTTTCCTGCCTAATTGGTCTGGCTAGGACTCCCAGAACTATGTTGAATAGGTGTGGTAAAAGTGATCATCCTTATCTTGTTCCTGTTCCCCGGGGGAATGCTTTCAACTTTTATCCGTTCAGTATGATGTTGGTTGTGGGTTTGTCATATATAGCTTTTAATATCTTGAGGTAGTTCTCCTATATGCCTAGTTTGTTGAGAGTTTTTAATCATAAAGAAATGCCTATTTTTTCATATGCTTTTTCTGGATATATTGAGATAATAATATGTCTTTTGTTTTTAATTCTGTTTATGTGATGTATCACATTTACTGACTTGCATATGTTCAACCATCCCTGCCTCCTTGGAATGAAATCAACTTGATCATGATGAATTATCTTTTTCATGTGCTGTTGGATTTGGTTAGTATTTTGGTGAAGATTTTTGCATCTATGTTCATCAGAAAAATAGGTCTGTAGTTTTCTTTTTTGGTTGTGCCTTTTCTTCTTTTCTTGGTTTTGGTGTCAGGGTGATACTGGCTTCATCAAATTATTTAGAAAGGAGTCCATCTTTCTCAATGTTTTAGAATAGCTTTGGTAGGAATGGTACCAATTTTCCTTTCTATATCTGGTAGAATTCAGTTGTGAATTCATCTGATCCTGAGATTTTGTTGCTGTTGATGGAAGTTTTTAAATTACTGATTCAATCTTACTGCTTATTATTAGTCTATTCGGGGTTTTTATTTCTTCCTGATTTAATCTAGGAGGGTTGTATGTTTCCAAGAATCTATCTGTTTCCTCTAGGTTTTCCAGTTTTTGTATAAAAGGTGCTCACAGTAGTCTCAAATGATTTTTTGTATCTCTGTGATGTCAATTGTAATGTCTCCAGTTTCACTGAGGTTATTTTTATATTTTCTGTTCTTGGTTAATCTAGCTAATGGTCTATTTTTTCAAATAACCAGTTTTTTTTCATTGATCCTTATATTGTTTTTGTTGTTGTTGTTGTTTGAATTTCATTGAGTTATTCTCTGATCTTTGTTATTTCTTTTATTTTTCTAGCTTTGGGTTTAGTTTATTCTTGTTTCTCTAGTTCCTTAAGGTGTGAAATTCGATTGTTAATTTGTGCTTCCAGACTGATGGAGGAACTTAGCACTGTATGCTTTTCTCTTAGCAATGCTTTCACTGTATCACAGAAGTTTTAAACTTGTGTCATTATTATCATTCAATTCAAATAGATTTTGAAATTCCATCTCGATTTCATTGTTAACCCACATATCACTCATAAGCAGATT
This sequence comes from Homo sapiens, assembly GCF_000001405.40. Classification (NCBI taxonomy): domain Eukaryota; kingdom Metazoa; phylum Chordata; class Mammalia; order Primates; family Hominidae; genus Homo; species Homo sapiens. The sequence continues at coordinate 162,950,773 of NC_000003.12, read as the reverse complement.
ACTTAATTTTCTTGCATTTGTATAGTTTTGAAGGTTTCTTTTGGAGTTGATTTCTAATTTTATTCTACTATTTTCTGAGAAGATACTTGATATTATTTTAATTTTTAAAAAGTGTATTTTGACATGTTTTGTGGCCTATCACGTAGTCCATCTTAGAGAATGTTAGATCTGGTAATGAGAAGAATGTATATTCTGCAGTTCTTAGGTAGAATGTTCTATAAATATCTGTTAAGTCCGTGTGTTCTAGCATGTCATTCAAGTCCATTGTTTCTCTATTGACTTTTTGTCAACAGAAGATCTGAAGATCTTCTAGACTTCTTGCACTAGACAGCTTCAGGATCTTCAGTGATGCATTGAAGTCTCCCACTATTATTGTGTTGCTGTCTATCTCATTTCTTAGGACTAGTAGTAATTGTTTCATGAATCTGGGGCCTCCAGTGTTGGCTGCATGTAAATTTAGGATTATAATATATTCTTGTTGGATTCATCCTTTCATTATTATATAGTAACCATATTTGACTTTTTCTACTGTTGTTACTTTGAAGTCTATTTTGTCTTATATAAGAATAGCTACTCCTGCTCACTTTTGATTTCCCTTTGGGTGGAATTTTGTTTCTACCTTTTTACCTTGAGTTTATATGCATCTTTCTGTGTTAGGTGATTCTCTTGAAGATAGCACGTATTTGGATTTTTATTTTTTTATTCCATTCTGCCATTCTGTATCTTTCAAGTGGAACATTTAAACCATTTGCATTCAATATTAATATTGAGATGTGAGATGCTTTTTTTCTCTCTTCATTATGTTAATTTTCACCTAGATAGTTTTGTTTTGTTTTTCATTGTGTTATCGTTTTATGGGCCTTGTGAGTTTTAAGCTTTCAAGAGGTTATAATTTGGTGCATATCAGGCTTTTGTTTCAAGGTTTAGAGCTCCTTTTAGCATCTCTTGTCGTGCTGGTTTTGTAGTGAAAAATTTCATCACCATTTGTTTGTCTAAAAATGACTATTTCTCCTTCGATTATGAAACTCAGTTTTGCATAATACATGATTCTTGGCTGACAGTTGTTCTTTTTATGGAGGTTGAAGATACAACCCCAATTTCTTCTGGCTTGCAAGATTTCTGCTGAGAAGTCTGATGTTAGTTTTATAGGCTTTCCTTTGTAGGTTAACTGATGCTTTTGTCTTACTGCTCTTAGAATTCTTTGTTTCATGTTGACTTTAGGTAGCCTAATGACTATATGTCTTGGCGAAGATATTTTTGCAATGAAAATCTCAGCATTTCTTTGATTTGTATTTGAATATTTTTTCTGGGACACATCAAGGTGTCCCAGAATATTTGAATAATATTCAAAAATTTGAATATTTTTTCTGGGACACATCATGCATTCCCACATGAGGAAGACCCTCCAAGTTCAGGCTTACATGACAGAGTCACAATTCCTCTGTACTTGAAATATCAACATTTCTACAGATGAAAAAGTTGCCTGTCTGACCTGAATAGCCAGAGCTCTGAGACAGGAGTATACATTTTTAAAGTGTGTACATTTTTAATTATGTGCTTCTTGGATTTGAATATTTACATCGCTAACATCTCTAGGCAGGCAAGAGAAGTTTTCCTTAATCATTTCCTCAAACAAGTTTTCCAGACATATTACTTTCTCTTCTCCTAAAAGAACACCAGTTATTCTTAGCGTTGGCTGTTTTACATAATCTCATGTATCTTGGAGACTTTGTTTATTTCTTTTGTTTTTTTTTTTTTATTTTGGTCTGACTTGATCACCTCAAAAGCCTTGTATTTAAGCTCTGAAATTCTTTCTTCTACATGTTCTAGTCTATTGTTAAAACTTTCCACTGTATTTTGTAATTTCCCAAGTGTGCTTTTCATTTCTAGAAGTTATGATATGCTGGTCTTTTCTTGATGATAGCTATCTCTCATTTCTCATTCATACCCTGAACTGCTTTTTAAATTTCTGTATTATAATTTTAATCTTTCTCTGATATCTCCTTGAGTGGCTTTCTCTGATACCTCCTTGACTTACTGGGCTGGGTGCGGTGGCTCACGCCTGTAATCCCAGCACTTTAGGAGGGCGAGGTGGGCAGATACCTGAGGTCAGGAGTTTGAGACCAGCCTGGCTAACATGGTGAAACCCCGTCTCTACTAAAAATACAAAAATTAGCTGGGCATGGTGGCAGGTGCCTGTAATCCCAGCTACTCGGGAGGCTGAGGCAGGAGAATCGCCTGAACCCGAGAGGTGGAGGTTGCAGTGAGCCGAGATCGTGCCATTGCACTCCAGCCTGGGGGACAAGAGCGAGACTCTGTCTCAAAATAATAATAATAATAATAATAATAATAATAATAATAATAATAATAATAATTGACCTTCCAAATTCCTTATGTGGTATTTCAAAGATTTTATCTTGGTTTGGATTCATTGCTGGAGAGCTACTGTAATATTTTGTGGGTGTTATAGAACCCTGTTATGTCATATTGCCAGAGTTACTTTTCTGGTTTCTTCTCATTTGGACTATTTCTTCTAATCATACTTGAATTTATGTTTTATATATGTGATGATTAATATTAGGCATAATCTTGATTAGATGAAAGGATGCCTAGATAACTGGTAAAGTATTGATGGTGGTTGTGTCTGTGAGGGTGTTGCCAGAGGAGATTGACCTTTGAGTCAACGGACTGGGAGAGGAAGACCCAGACTCAATGTGAGTGGGCACCATCCAATTTGCTGCCAGCATGGCTAAGGCAAAGCAGGCAGAAGAAGGTGGGATAACGTTGCTCGTGGAGTCCTCTGGCTTCCTTCTTTCTCCCGTGTTGTATGCTTTCTTCTGTTCCTCCTTCCCTCGGACGTCAGACTCCAGGTTCTTCAGCCTTTGGACTCTCAGACTTGCACCAGTGGCTTTCTGGGGACTCTCAAGTCTTTGGCCACAGATTGAAGGCTGCACTGTCAGCTTCCCTAGTTTGAGGCTTTTGGACTTGGACTGAGCCACTACCAGCTTCACTCTTCCACAGCTTGCAGAGAGCCTATCATAAGACTTTGTCTTTTGTGTGAGCCAATTCTCACACAAACGAATTACATATATGAATGTCAGTTCATATATATGTAAGGGAGTTTATTATACGTGTGTGTGTGTAAATTCTGTCCACTAGTTCTGTCCTTCCAGAGGACCCTAACTAATACAATTTAACTGTGTTTCTGTTTCTTTCTGTTTTTAATTTATTTTTTCCCCTTAAGGATGGGAGTTTAATGCTTAAAGTTAATTACAGCCTAATTTGGTTCTTGGGGCTTTCAGGGGTGAATACTCTGTCAGAGTTTCTTGGTTATAGAGTTTTTGTATGATGGCTTTCTCATGTGCTAGTCGTAGTAGCAATACACTTGGTGTTGAGCAAGGTCATTGTCTCCTATAAGGTTGGAATGGGATAGGTCTCTTAAAGCTTATCTCATCCTCTGTGGTGTGCACTTTTTTTATTTATTTATTTTCCCCCTGTATTTTTTTTTTTTTACTAGTTGGATAATTCAGGCTTCAGGACAGTAGGGGATGTGTCCCAGGGTAAGAACCAGTTGTGTCTAAAGCTGGTGGGTAAATGCAATACTCAGTGGTGAGTACAGGTCCCAGCCTTGACAAAGGTGCCTGGAGGAGCTCTCAGTGAGTCACACTGGGATCTTATCATGGGGAAGGTTTGGAGCCACCTCAGCTCCCCTGACAGGTCATCAGGAAAGTTATCCATCTCTCAGACACTCCTGTCTCAGAGCTCTGGCTATTCAGGTCAGACAGCCACTTTTGTCATCTGTAGAAATGTTGATATTTCAAATAGAGATGTGACTCTACCATGCAAGCCTGAACCTGGGGGTCTTCCTCATGTGGGGATGCAGTCGTCTTGATGTGTCCCAGAAAAGATGTCTATAGTTGCATCAATGCCGAGCTGCTGTGGAAGAAGTCCCAACTGTACCTGCCATGGTGGACAAGGGGGCAAAGATGTCCCCTTCTCCAAGACTCCCCAGGCACACCAGGACTGTCTGACTGTTGGGTTAGAGACTCATCAATGGAGAAGGCACTGAGAAATTGACATAACAAACTATTTCCTATTTTTCTGAACTTTTCCTGATTACCTCCCATACCCAGCCTTCTCCACACCCTTTTTTCTGTTTCAGCAAATGATAATATTTAAGCCTGGATTCAAAGGCACCTCTTTAAGATTAATTCTGTTTTTCTATGTATTTTTCATGTATACATGATGTGCACATGTTAATAAACTTGTTGATTTATCTATTCTTAATCTGTCTTTTGTTCCAGGGCTAAAGCCCAAGTAAGAAGTATAAAGTTTAGAAAGAAAATCATTTTTTTCCTCCCTATATCATGTTAAAAAATATTCCACAACACATATGTATCTAATACCCTTTAAAAGTCTTTCCTTTTGAAAATTGCCTCTATTCTTTGATGTGAATAATTTTTATTGACCTGTTTTCCAGGTCATCTATTCTGTCATCTGCTCTGTGTAATGTTCTATTAAATTGGATGTCTCGTAAATATCTAGTGACTTTTTAATTACATATATTTTATTTTCTTCTTCAATAGTATCCGTTTGATTATGTATTTAAACAATGCAATTTTGGGTGAAAATTGCACATTTTCCTTTGTTTTCTTCCTCTATTTCTTGCTGTTTGGATATATTAGTCCAAGTAATTTTTAAATCCTGGTTACACAATACAAATACATTATTACTCCCTTAACCTAAGTTTCACTTTCCAGTATTTAAGTTTTATGTGTTCAAGCATGGTGTGAGAATATTAAATACAAAATTCCAGAAAGTAATAATTTTTACATCTTAAATTACGTGCTTTTCTGAGTAGCATGATAAAATCTCATGCTATCCTTCTCCATCTTGCATTGGATATGAATCATCCCTTTGTCTAGTATATCCACACTGTATACACTACTCACCTGTTAGTCACTCAGTTGGTGTCTTGATTATCAGATTAACTGTCAAGGTATCACAGTGCTTAGGTTTGGTAGCATTCAATGTTTTAAGCATCCACTGGGACACTTAAATTGTATCTGCAGTGGATAAGGGTGATGCTATAAACAATCATCTTCATTTGTTTTGTTCTGCTATAATGGAATACCACACACTGGGTAATTTATAAACAATAGTTTATTTAGCTCATGATCTTGCAAGCTGAGTAGCTCAATCAAGGTGCTGCATCTGGAGGAGGCCTTCTTGATGCATCATAACATGGCAGAAGGCATGAGAGAGAGAGGGTGAGAGAAACAAGAGAGGGCTGAACTGACTTTGATAACAAATCCACTCTTGTGATAACTAATCGACTCTCTCAATAATAGCACAGATTGACTAACAAGGCCACAACTCATGAGAGGTGGAACTTATATAAACTTTCTACCTCTCAACACTGTCGCATTAGGGATTAAACTTCCAACACATGCGCTTTGGGGAAACATTTAAACCATAGCATTGCACCCCTGTGTCCCCTTCTTACATGCAAAATACATTCATTATATTCTAGTAGCCTCAAAAGTCTTAACTTGATTCAGTATCAACTGAAAAGTCCAGAATCTTATCTAAATCAGATCTGGGTGAGACTCAAGGCATGAAATTATCCTGAAGCAAACTTCATCTAACTGTAAGCCTGTGAAATGAAAACAAGTTACACAATTTTAAAATACAATGATAGGATAAGTATAAGACAGACATTCTCATTCCAAAATTGAGAAATGAAATAGGCCAAAAAACAAATGGTAACTGGTCCCAAGTAAGTCCACAACCCAACAGGTAAACAAGTAAATATTAAGGCTTCAGAATATTCTTCTTTGACTCCATGTCCCGCTTTCTTGGCACACTGAGGGAGAGGTTAAGTCCCCAAGGCCTCAGGCAGCCTCACCACAGCCTTTTCTGGGTTCAGTACACAAACATCTCTTACAGGTTGGAACCTCATGCCTGCAGCTCTACCAGTATGGCATTGCATGCTGGTAGCTCCATAGTTCTGGGGGCTCCCGTGAGTCCACTAAGCATTGCCTAGGTGATGACTTTCTGCAGCCCTTCTGCTCCTGTGGCAAGTTTCTGCCTGGACTCGCAGGCTGTCTGATGCATCCTTTGAAATTGAGGTGAGCACTATGGGTACACAGCTTTTATATTTCCTGCAAGTGTAGAATAAGTACTATGTAAATGCTGCCAAGGTTTATAGATTATATCTTTTGGAGTAGAAGGTCAAGTTGCTCCTGGACCCCCTTGAGCCATGGCTGTGGTGGTTGAGGAGGGGAGTGCCAGAACTCAGTGAACAGAGTTTATAGCTGGCAAGAAGAGTGAATGCTGAGGTTCTGCAGTCACCTCTTTGGAAACCTTATCATCAAGGGCCTAGCTGGCTTGGAAGATATCTAAAATGTCTTTGGAATCATTCACCCATTGTCTTGATAAGTAAACACTGACTTCCTTTTATCCATATTAATAACTTTAGCAAACTGCTAGTTGGCCACACCTTTAGTACTGTCTCCTGAAAGTGCTTTTTCATTCTTCACTTGGTCAGGCTACATTTTTCAAATCTTTTCATTCTACTTCTCTTTTAATTTTAAATTCCATCTATAAGTCACTTCTCTCTTCTTTCATTTTGCTGTAAACAGATAAAAAAGCCATGTAGTACCTTGAGTGCTTTGCTGTTTAGGTATTGTTTCTGCCAGATATTATGGTTCATTGCTTTCAAATTCTGACTTCCATAAAATCCTAAGACTTAAACACAATGCCATCAAATTATTTGCTACTGTATAACAAAAATGATCTTTACTCTTGCTGTTACTGGTGGAAGAGATTTGAATTACTGATGGTGAATCCATGTGCATCTGCAGCAACTTTAATTCTCACCTCCTCAGAAGAAAGAATTAGACTTCGGGGCATACAGCAGAAAGAGAGACCAAGGCAAGTTTCAGAGCAGGAGTGCAAGTTTATTTAAAAAGGCTTTAGAACAAGAAAGAAAGTGGGGCGATTCCTCAGGAATCTAGAACTAGAAATACCATTTGACCCAGCCATCCCATTACTGGGTATATACCAAAAGGACTCTAAATCATGCTGCTATAAAGACACATGCACACATATGTTTATTGCGGCACTATTCACAATAGCAAAGACTTGGAATCAACCCAAATATCCAACAATGATAGACTGGATTAAGAAAATGTGGCACATATACACCATGGAATACTATGCAGCCATAAAAAATGATGAGTTCATGTCCTTTGTAGGGACATGGATGAAATTGGAAATCATCATTCTCAGTAAACTATCGCAAGAACAAAAAACCAAACACCGCATATTCTCACTCATAGGTGGGAATTGAACAGTGAGAACACATGGACACAGGAAGGGGAACATGACACTCTGGGGACTGTTGTGGGGTGGGGGGAGGGGGGATGGATAGCTTTAGGAGATACACCTAATGCTAATTGACGAGTTAATGGGTGCAGCACACCAGCATGGCACATGTATACATATGTAACTAACCTGCACATTGTGCACATGTACCCTAAAACTTAAAGTATAATAACAATAAAATAAAAAAAAAGAAGGAAAGGAAAGTTCACTTTAAAGAGATACAAGAGGGTGCCTGAAGGTCAAAGAGAGCATTTAATCTTGATTCTAGAACTTTACAGCCTCACCTATTTCTGACTGCATGCACAGTGCCCTCCTTACCCTCGGGAATTGAGCATGTACAGTGTATTTAGGTAATTCTATGCATGCCCATCTGAGGCTTTCCTCCCTTTTTCCAGTGGAGTGCACGCAGAAGGTCTTCTGCATAAATGGTTACTTCACCATTTTGTCTCAATGCACATGCCCAGGAAGTTTCTTCTCCCTGGCATCTGTATTCAATTAACAGTTTAATGATAGTAGCTGTGGATCATCAGGAGATTGTCTCTCCTTGGCACCCTGACTCCGAATGCCAAATTTTCACTTTTAAAGAGTCAGTGTGATAACTGTCAAACCATCATCTGATATTCTTAGTGGGTAAGGGAAGAGCACTTTCCTGCCCTGCTTATGCCTATCTATCTACCTGTAAAACAGTTACCAATAACTATTCTTCATTTTCATCTAAGATCTCACCAGAAGAACCTTTACTGTATATATTTCTACTAACATTCTGATCATGACCACTTCAGTAATCCCTAAAAATATTCAAACTCTCTAAAGCTCTCATCTTTTGAGCCCTTATCAGAATTTCTCTTAATGCTCCATTCATGTCTGTGTAGGCTTTGTCATGCTTGTTCCTCCAAATACTTCCAGCCACTTCTGATTTCCCAGTTACACAGCCACTTCTACATTTTCAGGTATTTGTTACAGCAACAGCCCCACTTCTCAATATCAATGTTCTGTTTAGTCTATTTTGTGCTGCTATAACAGAATACCAGAGACTGGGTAATTTATAAATAAAAGAAATATATTTCTCATCATTCTGGAGGATGGGAAGTCCAAAATCAAGGAACTGTTATCTGGTGAGGGCTTTCATGCTACATCATCCTGTGGCAGAAGGCATCCCATGGAGACAGGTGGCATGAAAGTCTCAAACTCACTTTTATAACAAAACTATTATCACAATAACAAACCCACTCCTGTGATAACAACATTCATCTATTAATGAGTGCAGAGCTCTTATGACCTAGTCACCTTTTAAAGGTCTTACTTCTCATCACTTAAATTAGGCATTAAGTTTTCAACACATAAACTTTGGTGAACACATTCAAACCATAGCAACCATTAATATTTTTGCTCCTATTTGTGAATGACCTTAATTAAATCAAGAACTCTTCTAAATAGGATTATGCCGGATCCTGGTAAGAGTCAGTTCACCTTTGTTCTCTTAAGAGTTTTCAGCTGAGAACCTGGTGTATTCTTTGAGGTATCTCCCTGAGGCATGATTGAAACTCTAATCTTTGTTCTCCCAAAACAAAGGAAGATGTTTTTCTGATTCTCAGAGGTTTCTGATTGAGTTTATTACCTCCTGCACAGATCCTAGTATTATTTTAATCTCTGTTAAAATTATCTGATACAATTATGAATGTCTTCTCTTGTTGTCTTGAATTTCATTGAGCTTTCCCAAAACAGCTATCTTGAATTATCTGTCTTAAAAGATCATGTATGCCTGTCACTCTGAGATTGGTCCCTGGTGCCTTACTTAGTTTGTTTGGTGAGGTCATGTTCTCCTAGATGGTTTTGAGCTGTGGATGTTTATCAATATCTGGACATTGAAGAGTTAGGTATTTATTGTAGTCTTCACAGTCTGGAGTTATTTATATCTGTCGTTCTTGAGAAGGCTTTTCAAGTTTTCAAAAGGACTTGGGTGTTGTGATCTAAATTTGGTCATTATCACCATATTTGCATTATAGGGCACCCCAAGCTCAGTAACAGTGTGACTCTTGAAAACTCATAAAAGTATCACCTTGGTGGGCTTGTATAATTCAGGACAATTTCCTGAATTATCAGGCAGTCTCTTATTCTCTTCCCTCACATGCCCCCTAACAACTGGAGTCTTTCTCTTTGTGCTGAACTGCCTGGAATTGGGGGTAGTGTGACACATGCATTCCTGTAGCCACCATCACTGGGACTGTGTTTGGTCAGAAATGAAGCTAGCACAGCACTGAGTTTAACACATGGCCTGTGTCAACTATTGCCTGTCTACTGCTGATGTTCATTTAATCTCCAAGGGCTCTTTAGACAGCAGATTGCAAACCCTGTCAGCCTTTGGCTTTCCTTTCAGGACAATGAGTTGCCTCTTTCCCCAAGGTAGGTCTAGATTTCTAAACCCTAGAACTAGGGCTTAGAATCAAGAATTTTAGATATCTACCTGGCGCTTTATTTTACTGTGGCTGAGCTGGCAGCCAACTTGCAAAACAAAGTGCTTTTTGCTCTTCCCTTTCTTGTACTCAATCTGAGGTAGTGTCTCCCTATGTCCACCACTGTCTTACATTCATGGTGACTACTGCATGGCTACAGTAGTTGTTTATCGAAGGTCCAAGTCAGCAGGTGATGAATCCTGCCAGGCCTGGGTCTCTCTATTCAGGGAAGTGGCTTCCCTTCTGGCTCAAGGTGGGTCTAGAAATGCCATCCAGGACCTAAGTTCTGTAACGGGGAACTTTAGGAATCTGCTTGGTATTTTATTTTACTGTGCCTGAGTTGGTACTCAAGCTGCAAGAAAACTTTACTTAACTCTTTACTTAAGAGTAACTTTACTTCACTCTGCCCTCTCCATTCATCAAGCAGAATGAGTCTGTCCCCATGACCACCCCAGCTGGGAATGCACTTTTTCACACCTGAAGCCAGCACAGTACTGGGTCTTGCCTAAGGCCCATGGTGACACTGCCTAGATGCTGTAGATGGTTATTCGAGGTCCAAGGGGTCTTTGGTCCACAGGTTATGAATCATGTCAGGACTGTGTATTTCCATTCAGGGCAGCAGACTCCCTTCTGGCCAAAGGTGGGCCTAGAAATGCCATACAGGGGCTGGGCATTGTGACTTACACCTGTAATCCTAGCACTTTGGGAGGCCGAAGCAGGTGGATCACTTGAGGTCAGGAGTTCGAGACCAGCTTGGCCAACATGGTGAAACTCTGTCTCTAATAAAATACAAAAATTAGCTGGGTGTGGTGGCATGCACCTGTAATCTCAGCTACTCAGAAGGCTGAGGCAGGAGAATTGCCTGAACCCCGGAGGTGGAGGTTGCAGTGAGCCAAGATCATGCCACTGCATTCCAGCCTGGGTGACAGAGGGAGATTCTGCCCAAAAAAAAAAAAAAAAAAAAAGAAATTCCATACAGGAGCTAGGTCCTGGAATGAGGGGCTTTAGGAATCTACTTGGTGCTTTATTTTACTGTGGGTGAGCTGGTACCCAAGTTGCAAGTTAAGTCCTATTTACTTTTTCCTGTCCTTTTACTAAGCAGAAAGAGTCTCTCCCTATGGCCACCACTACCCCAAGCCCATGTTTACTACTGCCTGGCTACTGCTGTTGTTTATTCAAGGCCCAAGGGCCCTTTCGAATTATATTTTTTATACTCTTATATATCGAAATCAGAATTATACCATGGAGTCTATAAAAGTAACTTAAATAGGTCAGGCATGGTGGCTCACGCCTGTAATCCCAGCACTTTGGGAGGCCGGTGTAGGTGGATCACTGAGGCCAGGAGTTCAAGACCACCCTGGCCAACATGGCAAACCATTATCTCTACTAGAAATACAAAAATTAACTGCACATGGTGGCACACGCCTTTAATTCCAGCTACTCGTAAGGCTGAAGCACTAGAATCATTTGAACCTGGAAGGCGGAGGCTGCAGTGAGCCAAGATCATGCAGATACACTCCAGCCTGGGTGACAGAGTGAGGCTATGTCTCAGAAAAAAAAAAAAAAAAAAAAAGAACTTAAATATTACCAAATAGCATATTTATGGATTTGTAAAATCTTCAAATATTTATGAAATTCTAAATTTGTTTTAGAGTATATTTTACATTATGCAGTAATTTTATACTGTAATATTTTATACTTACAATTTTTTCTAATTTTTATTAATTTTCTACTATGGGGTTAGTAATAGGAAGCATTGTGTAAAGGAATAATAATATTATGTAAATATTTAGGTGTTGATAATTTTAATATCTTTAGAAACATTTAAATATTTAATGTTTAGATTAATTACTTAACTGAATCCATACTAAAAACAAAACAAAATCCAAAAGATGCACTAATGATAAAATTTAATATATGACTCTGTCCCTCTCTCTCTCTCTCTCTCTCTCTTGATCTGTGTGTGTGTGTATGGAAAACCAGTCTTTGTAATGTGGGCAGAAATACTTAATGCAATGTATGCAAACAATAATTTCTTCTCAAGAGTAATTTTTCTTCAATTCTAACTTAATAAGAAATAAATTATATAAAGCATGTTTGTATTATTCTTAAATATGTATTACCCAAAATGTTTAAGTCATAATTTTTCTCATGTTAGTTGGAATAATAAAATAATTTTGAAAAACTATTATTATACATCGTTTCAGTTATTTTTAATAACATCCCTTTAATTCTCCTCATAACTTAACAGAGTACAGATTAATAAGTCTGGCCTCTATATTCCATATATTACCTGAGGCACAAAAGGCATTTAATCATGGCTGTTTCACCATTCCACACTGCTGTAATCTGAGGAGTGAATTTAGAACTTAATTAAGAAAAAAAAAAATCAAAAGTTTTTTTTTTCCTATATTGTTTTAGTCTCCCTCATAATCACACTATTGAATTTCTTTGGCTTGATGCCACTAGTCTACTTAACCAGAAAGAGACCTATAAAATGCATTGCTGAACTTACTATAACAATTTCATTCAAATTGTTTACTATATAACAGTGTGTTCACTACAAGTGTTTGCAGGAGAAATATTCCTCTCATCTCAGGACCAAGCATGGTTATTCTTCAATGTAACATCTGGTTTGTTTTTATCTTAAGTGTACTATAAACAAACAAAGTGATAATGTTCTCCGGTTTGCACTGGCTGCTGAAAAGCTTGGCTCTAAATGTGTTACACTCTTCTTGCGGGTGTATTTGAATTAATAATATACATTTCACATTTCAACATCTCTCCTTTCTACACCTTGCTTTCTTTTTACCCCTTGTCTTTTCTTTTAAAATATTTATTATATAAAAACAGTGTTTTCAAGTAGTCTTAAACATTGTATTTTGAATTACGTGAGGTATTATTTGGGCAATCTTACAGCTAAAGGTTTGAAAATAAAAAAAAGAAATGCTTAAGATTTTAGACTAATTTTAACAACCATTTGTACATAACCAGCTGAATTTTAAAAGACAATGAATGTTGAGTTTGCGCAAAAAAAGAATTTAATTGAATAGTTGGTTTCAAATGGCTGTTTTTGTATTTCAAGTTGAAAATTTTAAAAAAATAATAAATGTCAGCAGCCAAGCGAGAGCAGCTTGGAACAAATACAATGCTGTATTTTTTGTTTGTTTAATTTGGTATAATATTCCTCATAAAGCCTTCACCACATGTGTATCTGGCATATGGACTAGAGGATTTATCTGTGCTTCAGGCCAACAGAAAAAGAGGAGGAAGACTGCTGTGAAGTTTAGTACAAACAGAAATAATGAAAGCTAAGATGTGAACCAAGGTTAAAACGCAAGATAGACATTATGGCACCAGATATTTTTAAGTTTTATGGGCTTCAAAGGCCCTCAGGTTTAGAGAAGTTTTGCTTAAGCTCTCTAATATGTTCTTCATTTTCTCATATGTAAAGTTGAATACAAATATATAAAATATCTAGTACAATGCTAGAAACAGAGCGTTTAAGAAATATCATTTCATCCCCCACCTTTTTTTGGTTCTTACTCTTGATTCAAAACATGAATTCTACATGTATTCTCTAGTGATCTCTAAAATTTACCAATGCTTGCCTATTTTCAGGCCAAGTAAAGTTAAATTTCACTTGATGGCATCTAGAAGTCTGCAATTTTAAAGCCTTCTAGGTGATTTTATTTCTATCCAGTCATTATTTTCCCACATGGTCTTGTTAATTTTCTGGAAAATTGTTTATTATTTGGTAGAACTTTTATGTCTGAATATCTAGTGAATGAACTCGTGAATCTGAGCATACCAGAAAATTTGGCTCAAGATAGAGTTCAAAAATAGTGCCAGTCATAATTTGAGTGACAATGGAGTCTTCTATAATTTTATGGCTGTGATGAGGTCATATAAGGATGGGCCCTCTTAGGAAGAATGTAGGTCCTTTACCATTCATTCTTCTCCTTTCAGGCTTCTATACCTATTATCTCCCTAAACCCATTCATGTAAAAGTCATCAATGACTTCTTTGTCAGATTAAATTCTTTTTCTTATTTGTTCATATCCTTGGAATCAATTGACATACTTGTTAATTCTCTTTTGCAACAATATCTCCACTTCTGCTTCCAGGAAACCACACTCTCCTGATTTTCTTCCTAATTTCCTGGCTGTTTCTTCCCACTCACTTCTGCTGGAATGTTGTTATTTTTCTGACCACCCAGTCATTGGATGGCCCAGGGCTCAGGGCTCTCTGCTCCCTTATCTTTCTTATTTTAATTCACTCTGTAGGCTATCTCTTTCAGCTCCATGACCTTCAATGCCATTTTTATTCTGATGACTCTCAAATTTAGAGTCATGATATTTCTACTATATCCAGACTCATATTTCAGACTCACTACTTTCCATCTCAACTTTAATGTTTCATAGGCTTCTCACACCCAAAATATCCAAAACCAAACTTCTTGTTTTCTTCAAACATGCTTATCCCAGTGTTTACCAAATAAGAAGTTTCCAGGATTGACTTTCTCACAACAAAAACTTAGAAACATATGGACTGGTTTTTTTTTCTCCTACACCCTTTCTACAAAACATCATCAAACTCTGTTATATCTATTTTCAAATTTGTTCCAGAAGTAGAACACTTTTTAAACTCCCTCCATCTTAGAACAATACACCATCATATCCCATTTGAATTGGTGCCATAGCCTCCCAACGAATCTTTCCTTGTCCATTATTAAGTTGCAATTGGTAATCATTTTAAAATTTAAATTCATTCATTCCCTCTCTCCCATATGCAGATACTTAACACTCAAATGGTTTACCAACCATTTAGAATACATTTCCTAAGGCTTGTCATAGAATATAAAGTCCTGAATTATCTGCTAGGCATAGTTTTCTCTTGGACTTTATCTTCTAATGCATTCCCTATAGTAACGGAGATCTAGGTGCCCTGCTGTGCAGCACATAATCTTTCTAAAACATTTACTCACACCTTAGAATCCATCATTCTCTTTTTCTGAAACATTCCTCCTCATTTACTTCTTTTTGATCACTCCTCAGAAGTCACTTTCTCAAGAGGCCTTTCTAGATCCCTTATTCTGCTCTATCATCTTGTTATGTTACAATGTTTTCTGGTTGTGTTTTTTTTTGTTATATCCAAATATATATGTGTATTTTTTATTTGTTTTTTCTTCATTTGCATTTGATCTTTCCACCAGAATGTAGGCTCTATATGTTGACGGAAAGAGTCAAACTCTGTAAAATATTTTAAGAGATTTATTCTGAGCCAAATATGAGGGACCCTGGCCCGTGACACAGATCTCAGGAGGTCCTGAGAACATGTACCCAAGGTGATTAGGGTGCAGATTGGTTTTATAGATTTTAGGGAGGCATGAGACATCAATCAAATACATTTAAGGAATACATTGGTTTGTTCCAGAAAGGTGAGACAACTTGAAGCTTGAAGTGGGATGTGTGGACTTCCAGGCTATAGGTAAATTTGAACATTTTCTGCATTTTCTTGTTGACTATTGCTTGAGTTTTTGTCTATCGACCTGGGATCAATAGAAAGGAAATGTTCAGGTTAAGATAAAAGTTGTGGAGACAAGGTTCTTTTGATGTTTCATAGTGGCTGACCATAGAAACAATAGATGGCAAATTTTTCCTCTTCAGACCCTTTAAAAGGTGCCAGGCTCTCAGTTAATCTATTGAGAAATGGAGGGGCCTTGAAGGAAAAGGTCTAGCTATGTTAATAGGGATTCTTTGGAGATGTGAGTTTTCTGCCACAAAGGACAATTTGTAGGGTCATTTCAAAATGTGACCAAAAAAACATGTTTTGAGGATAAAATATGTTGATTTTCTTGCTTGTCTTGTAATGTTATGCCAGAGTCAGGTTGGAAAATAAGTCACAATATATAGGGTTAAATAAAACCCATCTGATGAGAATTTATGGTTTGTACGGCCTGACTCCCCAGATCCCTTAGATAGGAATTTGAGCAAGATAAAGAAATCAGAGTTTAGTCCTCATATAAAATCAGATAATTTGTTTGCTCCTTGTTTTACGCCCCACATTGAGAACAGTTCTTGGTATATGTAAGCATTTAATAACTATTTTGTTTGTTGAAAGACTACATGTCAAAACAACATCTATTTTCTAATTTTTCTGGGGTGGAAACAAATCACTTTTTAGGATCATATACTTAAGGATTTTCTCCCATCTTCTTGTTCAAGAGCGATCACATTGCTATCTCATGGAACAAACTTCATTTCTGTGTGTAGCAGACATTTTCAACAACATATGTTGGCATTTCTCAAGCTTACTAAACTTTCAATTAGACTTTTGCCATTGCTTGGCTTTTTTATATTTGTTATTCTTTTTTAAATTGTAAAATTATTTGTTTTTTATTTTATTTTTATGGATTTCAGAAATGTCTTCATCCAATGGAGAAAGATTATTTATGTCCATCTACGTGTGTGTGTGTGTATGTGTGTGTGTGTGTGTGTGTGTTTTCTGTGGCTTGTGTGGCTCATGCCATAGATGACTATGTCCCAGTGTTTGAGATCCATGGAATGAGGTATGTAACGGATCATTTTGTTGGAAATTATTCACAAGGACACATTATAGTTCAATTTATCTACTTGAGAGGTTATATTGTCATTGGTTAAAAAAAATCTAATTTTCTTTTTCTAAGGCTCTTAAAATAAATTCAGGTTATGCTTAATCTTGTAACAAAACCAAAGCTTTGTGAAACAGTTTTCTGTTCTTTTGCTGATGGCTGTGGACTGTCAGACTTTGTTGTAATTGAAGTGATTTTTATTTTTGGTAATATAAATATAAGCTCATGCTGAGAGTATTCAAATGCCTTACTCTAAACACAATTAACTTGGCAAGTTCAATTTAAAATAACAATAAAAAAATAGAAGTCATGAAACCAAGTAATCAGGAAATCCTCCAATACTGTCTAAATTAGCATTTTGCCATGGTTTAGTCACTTGTGATACAAACAATTTTATTAAAACTGTTCATATTTTAAGATTAGTAGACAAAGAATGGGATAGTGTAATTATGTTTGCTTCTCTGTCTGTTAATACACAGACATTTCCTTGGCTACAGTGAGAAAAGTTTCCTCGTAGAATGTTGTATCAGCAGAGCTTTGACAAAAATCAAGCCAAAAAATCAGTTTCACATCAATTCTGTTTTCTTTCATGAGATTAGAGAAATAAAAGATGACGTGAGTTTCCTTTCCAAATTTTGACTCAGAAATCCATTCCCTGGAATATCCCATGGCATAGTTGATATTCTAATGTCATTATTCTCTCAAAAGCAAGCGAATTTTACATTATAAATCCATGGTTCTCATCCTACTTTATCTGTACCCATGTCCAAATTTCATTTTGCCTGTTACTGTTTAACATGCAGTTTAGTTCAGATAAAGGCCATACCATGAAACCGTTTATAACTATAATAAATAATAGAGAGCTGATAGGATTAAAAATTATTTTACCTATTTAAAAAGATTGATTCAGGTTTAATAAGAATACAAAAAACAGAGAGAGAAACAAGGTAGCACTTTTGACACCATTCTTATTTTTTTACAGCTTTATTAAGGTATAACTATAGTACAAAAATCTGTGCATATTTAATGTATACAGTGCGATGAGTTTGACATACATATGCACAGACCAAGAATACGATCAACACAATCATGTTAATGAACAAACCCATTACCTCCAAAAGTTTCCTTATGTCCCTTTGCTCCCTGCACCACCACTGCCTCGAACTCACAGAAGAAGAACAGAAAGGTGATTGCCAGGGGCTGGGGAGGGGAATTGGGGAAATATTCGTCAAAGAGTACAATTTTTTGATTAAAAGATGAATACGTTCTGGAGACCTGATGAAAAATGTGGTTACTACAGTTAGTAATGATGTATTGTACCCTTGCTAAGAGAATGATTTTAAATATTTTCTCTTTCTCTGCCTCACACACACAAGGTAACTATGTAAGGTAATGGATATGTTAATTATCTTGATTGTGGTTATCATTTCATAATAAATACATGCATCTAAAAATAATGTAGTACATTTTAATTATATATGAACTTTATTTGTAAATTATCCCATAGTAAAGCTGGAAAAAAGGTTTTTAAGAGTGTAGATCTCATGTTAAGTGTTCTGACCACACCATTCTTATTTTTGATATGTAAGTCTGGTGTCTACATTCTAATTTGGCTGACTCAGCAAATTGGCATCTCAATCTTACCATTGGTTATCACCTTTGTTTCTCTTAGTTTCTGGAAATTCATAGAACGATTTATAGATGCAAGTGACTCTGGAATTACTTCTCTAAACCTACTTGTTTTACTGATGCAGAAATAATTGCATTCTATTTAACTGCTCATACATGATCATATTTTCAAAGTTCGAGTTCAAACTAATAAATGGCCATTTGATTCCATGAAAATACTTTCTAGAAAAGGGAAGCTGTAATATTCCAGGATAGCCTATTCCTTCAATGAATAATTCTGTTTATCCCTAAATTAATGCACCTAAAACTGAGCACAGTACACTGCCTTTAAATTAATAAATATTAGTCTTAACCTGAGTCAAAATATTTGGTTTCTAGGTGGTGCTGCTCACATTTGTGATAATCTTTCCTAGTTTCAGCATTAATGTAATCTGTTTTCATGTTTGTTGTTTTTAATTCTTTTTTCTTCCTTCCCTTCTTGCTTTTGTCACTCCTTCCCTTCTTTCCTTCTTTCAAGATTTCAGATTCTGGGATTCTGATCACTGTAAACAACTGTAAAGGGTTTACGGTTTTATCCTACTTACAGCTAACAAATTAGCCTTCCAAAATTTCATGGATGCTCTCAGAAGACATAAAACCTCTAAGTCAGAGACAAAGGTCTTTATTACTCACAACAAAAGCAGTGGCCAGACTACCAGCATTTGCATTGGTTCACAGAGTCCCAATTCCCACATAATTCTGCAAAGAGGTTTGAAGTGATGCCTGTACACCTAGCAGGTTCCTGTAGTCCTGCACAGAACATAAAACCTGAGCTTAGGCAACCCAAATCTTCTAAAATAAGCAATAAACTTCCCTGTTTTCTGCACTGAAGGAAGACACTATGTTTATTATAATAGGCAATAAACAACAACAACAAAATAAAACCACACACATACAAACTGCCCTTTGCTCTGGAGAAAGGCACTATCTCAATCTTCTAAGGCTCTTCACTAAACAAATATCCTTGAAAAAAATCATCTGGGGCTAAGGATGTCAGCACTTCTGCTGGTAACACACAGATAAATGTACAAGACCCAACAACTACTTTTAAATATATTGGTATTGATATTTCTATAGATTGCTCTAATTTGGAACGTTTTCAGCATATATTTCTTAAATATATCTTTTTATGTTGATTTTATTTTCTCTCCTCCTTTTGAGGTTGAAATTACATATGTATTAAAATGTCTCAGGAATCATTAAAGCTTATTCACCCTGTTTTCTTTTTCCATTCTGTACTTCTGTTCCAATTACTTCCATTGTCCTGAGTTTATATTTACTAATGATTTCTTGTGGAATACCCAATCTGCTTTCAATCTTATTTAATATATATATTCTTTTATTTCAGATATTTGATTTTTCAGTTTTATTCAAGGTTTCAATTTGATACCTTTTTATGCTCTCCTAATTATCCATGAAACTCCCCAATTCCTCTTTTATTATTTTCTACTGTTCCTTGGGTCTTAACCCCATTATTTTGTAGTAATTTTATAGTTTGTCTCCTAATTTTAACACCTGTTCAATTTATGGTAATGATTTGTAGAATGATTTCTTTTATTCTGGTGTTACATATTTTTCTTTTTTCTCATTTCTAATAATTTTCAATTGTACGCTATATGATATTGCAATATAATATTTGGGATTTTGTAATTTTCTTCTGAAGATTGTTAATTTTTGTGGTAATGGGCATTAAATAACCAGAAGATTACTTTAAGTTTGGGGGTATTTGGTTTTACATTTAGTAATTATAGTCCATTTGGGTTTTGTGCTTAGTCCTAAGGAAAATATCTTAGTATATAAGGGGTGCTCTCCTAGAATATCTATGGAAAGTTCAAAGCATTTAACAAATTCCTTTATATTATCAAGATTCAAACTCCAAACTTCATTGGGAAACCATTAAAATCTCTGCTCAGGTCTTCAAGCTTTGCAGTTGTGGTTTTCTTCCTCAGGTTTTTGGAATCTTGCATGCAGCTCTGGGGTCAACCAAAAACCTAGGAGAATTTATATACAGAATTTATGGCTTATCCACATCTGGCTCTCTCATATCTTCATGACCCCTTCATTTTCCAGTTTCTCTTAATGTCCCACATTCCTCAGGTCAAGAAGCCTGTGACTCTTTGCTTATATTCTGCTCAATAAGAAATGAGAAGTGCCTTTAGAAGAAAAGCTAAATAAATGAACATGTCACCCAGTGCAAATCCTTTATTTCAAGGGTTAAATTCCTCCTGATATTTGGCTGCCTTTGATCATGTTTCAGCAACTTTTAGCAGGATTTTTTTATATCTGCCTAAGAATTGGCAATGTTTTCTGCAAGAGGATTAATTTGATACAAGCTTCTCTGCCATTACTGGAACCAGCTGTGTGTAATTGCTAGCTGTGTGATTGTGGGGAAGTTTCTCTTTTAAGAAGTGCTTTTTTCATCTTTAAATGAAGAATGTCAAGAATATCTACTTCCTAAACATGTTATGACAATCAAACATGAACAATAATGTAAAGCATTGAAAAGGAAGTTTGATACACTACAAACACACACACATTTTCCTATTGTATTTACCAAAGGAACATCTTTCTCAAAAGCTCTTAGGACCAATATTTCTTGGGTTGACAATGAAAGAAAACAATTATTTTTATTGATTTTGGGGTAACTTTGTTGACAGCAAGCTTTCTGAAATTCAACTCTATTTTTATGCGATAAAGAGAATTATTCAATTCCTCCCACTAAAATGTTATTTTAAATGAGATGAATAATAGAAAAAAATTACCACACAGGAGCTTTCTTTAATATTGCTGTTTCTGAAAGAAAAGTAAAAGTTACGCGTGCTACGTTTGCACCTATTTAAGCAGATATTCACAGATGAGTCTGCTAAAAATTTCATGTATCCTACCTTGGGGTGAAAAATAAGTACTGCATGGTACTATATACATTCTTTGACTCTATTTTGGTGAAACTTCGATTTAAAAATAATTAATTAAATAATATCAATAAATATGTATATATACTTTAGCACTTGACACCAGTCTTATATATATGCATATATAGAGAAACATATCCCACCCACAGTAGACTTATTGTAGTGTTATTTGAAAGCCATTAATATTGAAGTTGTAGGAAACACTAACCGGATATTAATAAATTGTTGAGTCTAATCTTATTGTATGGAGTTTCTTCTTTTTCCTTTTAACTTATTACCCTGCATCTCTTCTCAAGCCATGCTGAATCAGACTAATATGTTTCAGGGACAATATATTAATAGCAACAGTAGAAATATTTACTTAACTATGTAATTTGTCACTATCAATTATTTTAAAATATGGCAATTTTAACTTTTTTTTCAACTTTAACTAGATGTATTTGTAATTGTATAGAGAACCTTAGAGAAAATCACCAAATGTGATTTGAAATCCCTAGAACTACTATGTAAGTTTATTTTCTCATAAAACAATGGGATTAACAGATTATCATTATTGTTCTCACTACATAGATCAATTTCACTGTACTTTTTGCTGGGGAAAATGGCTTCATGTGTTCTCTGAGGAAGAAAGATAAGTAAGTAGGTAATTTCTTGCCTAAAGCTTTTTTGTTTCTTTATACCTTTTGATGTATGTTTGTATAACTAGATTAGAGAGAACATAATACCTCTGCATATAAAATACATTATAATCATATTTTACATAGTCTTACAATTACACACATTGATTGCTGGAAATATAGCTCAGTTTTACCCACAAAGTCTTGTCTGTAAACTTCAAATTAGGCCAAACTGTGGCCTGGACTCTATTCATCTACTTCTTCACACCTAATCAGTGTGTGAGTGTTCACTGAGGTCTATGAAAATTAGAATACCATAGATTCCCTTTACCAAGAGTAGGATGGAAATAAAGCAGGCAACTTCAGGATATGTTTTGAACATTTCCATTTATAGAGAAGAAAATGTATGGCAAGCCTATTAATCTGCAGTGTCTTAGGAGTTTTATCAGTGGGATTAAGTAAAAATTAAAACAGATTATATAAAGGTATATGGATCAATACTAGAGAAGGAATGACATCTACAGATTGGGCAGACTGAAAACATTTACTAATTGACCTGTTGTTTACACTTTCATTGTTTTGAGATTCATTAGAATAGTTGAGTCCCCATTGCCTGACATTTGTATACCAACCACATATTAATAGGTGGGTAAATACTTCTGAACTGAGGATTGATTAAAAATATTTTAAATTACATTATTATTGATATGGTTTGGATATTTTGTAACCCCCCTCCAATCTCATGTGGAAACATGATCCCCAAAGTTGGAGGTTTTGATTCACGGAATTGGATCCCTCATGAATGGCTTGCTGCCCTCCCTATGGTAATTAGTTCACAGGAGAGTTGATTATTTAAAGGAGGCTGGGACTTCCCTACTTTTCTCTTTCTCTCTCTTTCTTGCTTTCCCTCACTCTCCCTTCACCTTCCACCATGAGTAACAGCTTCCAGAGGTCTCACCAGAAGCCAAGGAGATGCTGGCATCATGCTTATACAGCCTGCGGAAATATGAGCCAGATAAACATTTCTTTAAAAAAAATAAATTATCCAGCCTCAGGTATTCCTTTTTAGTAATGCAAATGTACTAATACAATTATATATATAATATGTTGTTAACTCATTCATTCAGCTTAATCAAACATTACTCTCATGTCTAAAACTCAGATTCCTTTATTTTTGTTTACTTCTACTTCAACTTTTTTTGCCCTATTTTATATGATCTGAAGTAGGAGTAATATTTCAAAGCTAAATATTATGGTTTAAGCATGCATTTGTGAGAGAGCTAGTTTTACATTTTTTGAGTTGATGCATGATAAATGTATATGGTTTCATGGTACATGTGATAATTAATACATTCATAACATTTATAAAGGGCAAATCAGCATGCTTAGGATGTCCATAAGATTCAATATTGTCTTTTTATTATGCTAGGAACATTCAAATTATTCTCTTCTAGATATTTTGAAATGTACAGTAGGTTATTGTAAGCAATAATCACCCTGCTGATCTATAAAACACTAGGTCTTATTTCTTCTATCAAACTATGTATTTGAACCCACTAATCAACACTTCATTCTCCCTCTCTTACACTTCCTGATCTATGATAACCACCAATCAACTCTCTCTTTTTTTTTGAGACAGTCTCGTTCTTTCACCCAGGCTGGAGTACAGTGGCATAATCTCAGCTCACTGCAACCTCCCTCCACCTCCCGAGTTCAAACAATTCTCCTGCCTCAGCCTCCTGAGCAGCTGGGATTACAGGTATGAGCCACCATGCCCAGCTAATTTTTGTATTTTTAGTAGAGATGGAAATTCACCTTGTTGGCCAGCCTGGTCTCCAACTCCTGACCACAGGTGATCCACTCGCCCCTGCCTGCCAAAGTGCTAGGATTACAGGGGTGGGCCACCGCGCCTGGCCTCAACTCTCTATTCTCATGAGATCCATTATTTTTTGCTACCATGGATGAATGAAAACATACAATATGTATCTTTCGGAGCTTGGCTTAGTTTGCTTAACATAATAAGCAAAATTAGTTCTAGTTTCACCTATATTTCACCACTAGTAGAACATAAACAAATACAGGTATTACTTATATTTCAAGGCCCAGTGTGTTAATAAAGGTGTGGATTTGTCTCCTGAGAATCCCTTAACAAATTATAACTCAATCTCTTAAAAGAACAGAAGTGTATTCTCTCAGAGTTCTGGATGCTTGAAGCCTGAAGTCCAGTTGCTGGCAGAAACAAACCAGCTCCACCAATGTGGCCACAAATGGCAGTATTTCATTCTTTTATGGCTAAATTATATTCCTTTTTGTATATATACCATAATTTGTTATCTATTCATCTGTTGATGGGAACTTAGGTTGATTCTGTATTTTGGCTATTGTGAAGAGTGCTGCACAGAACAAGGGAGCGCAGGTATCTCTTTGCTACATTGATTTTATTTTTTTGAATATATACCAGTAGTGAAAATGCTGGATTATATGGTAGTTCTATTTTTACTTTGTTGAGGAACCTTCCTACTGTTCTTCATATTGATGGTACTAATTTACATTCCCACCAACAGTGTATGAGGGTTGCCCTTTCTCCACATCCTTGCCAGCATCTATCATTGCCAGTCTTTTTTGATAAAAGCAATTTTAACTGGGGTGAAATAACTATTTTTACATTTTTTAAAATTTTATTATTATTATACTTTAAGTTTTAGGGTACATGTGCACAACGTGCAGATTTGTTACATATGTATACATGTGCCATGCTGGTGTGCTGCACCCATTAACTCGTCATTTAGCATTAGGTGTATCTCCTAATGCTATCCCTCCCCTGTCCCCCACCCCACAACAGTCCCCGGTGTGTGATGTTCCCCTTCCTGTGTCCATGTGTTCTCATTGTTCAATTCCTACCTATGAGTGAGAACATGTGGTGTTTGGTTTTTTGTCCTTGCGATAGTTTGCTGAGAATGATGGTTTCCAGTTTCATCCATGTCCCTACAAAGGACATGAACTCATCATTTTTAAATAAATATTTTGTTTTAATTTTTAGCCTTTTATATAGACTACAGTCTACCTCTATGAGCTATGTAACTGTTTGGTCAAAGCATTTGATTCTTTTTTGATTATAGATTGCAATCTTCAATGCATTCCATAAGTTGTCTGCAATTTATTTACTGTTTTTAAACTCACTGGGTACTCTGAATCTTCTTGTCTTAAGTCATTCATTTTCATTCATCTATAATGACTTTTTTGTTTTTCTATATACATAAAATATTTTTATTAAGTTTTGAAAATCCAAGCCAAATTTTATTTCCCATAAGATACTTTTTCTAAGATCTTTCTACCTTCGTCAGTGGTAAATCACTATAACTTTTATATAATTTATTCTTTTTTAGAAAATCTTTAATTGCCTATTACCTTGTGGTGAGACTGAGGCAGATGAAGATGATGTGGCTTCAAATCCAGGAATGCTCAGGAAACCACCAAAAGCTAGAAGAGACATGGAATGAAATCTCTTCTGGGTTGGTCCTGCCACAACTTGATTTTAGGCTTAAAGCATCCGGAACTCTAAGATAATATATTTATGTTCTTTTAGGCATTCAAGTTTATAATTTGTTAAGGACGACTCAGAAGACAAATCCACACCCCAGTTAACACACTGGGCCCTGAAATATAAGTAATACCCATATTTGTTTTATTTTCTGCAACTCTATATGATACACATTCCTAAGATATAAAGTTTTTAAAATTAAAACTCCTCTTTCCTGTAGTGATATAGTGGTTATTTGTAACCCATCTTATTTCAGATAGCATTTAAAACAACTGAATTTTCAGGGATGCAAATGTTCATTGAACATTATACTAATAATATCTCCTCTGGTCTGCTGCAATATTTATTACTCATTGTAAAAATAAATAAATGGCAATGTAACATCATTTGCATCATTTATATTACAAAATGACAAGTTCTTTTCTTTTCTTTTTTTTTTTTGTTTTGAGATGGAGTTTGGCTCTTGTTGCCAGGCTGGAGTGCAATGGCAAGATCTCGGCTCACTGCAACCTTCACCTCCCAGGTTCAAGTGATTCTCCTGCCTCAGCCTCCCGAGTGGCTGGGATTACAGGTGTCCATCACCATGCCTGGCAATTTTTTTTTTTTTTTTTTGTATTTTTAGTAGAGAAAGGGTTTCACCATGTTGGCCAGGCTGGTCTCGAACTCCTGACCTCAGGTGATCCACCTGCCTCGGCCTCCCAAAGTGCTGGGATTACAGGCGTGGGCAACCACGCCCCACCAAAGAAGTTCTTAACATTGATTTTCCTTGAATTTATCATAATCCTTTATGAAACTTAAATTGGTCATTAATATAAGGTCTTTAACAGATAAGAAATGTTAATGTAGTAAAATTCTCTTAAAGAACATTGAAGTATTTTATTCAACTATTGTCAGGCTTGAGAATTCCCATTTCTAATTCTCATGCATGAAAAAGAACAGGACAAACATTGAAATAACATGCCTTTGTTCATTAATGTTGAAAAATTACAGGTGCTAAATAATATTTTGGTAAATGTGAGCAGGTTTTTATGTGTCAGGTTTTAAAAAATAACAGTATATGACAGTATGATGTTTATTTGTTATGTAGGTGACATGAAAGTATCTTGATCAGTTTATTTTTACAATGTTTTGCAGAGTGTGATAACTTCTGTCAAAATATTTTTCAGGCATACATATTTTAGCAACCCCTTGAATATGCTCTTAGTTATGATATCATACAATTTTAGTATGGAATATTAATTGAGAGATAAAAACAATGTTATTTTCTCTGTATATCATGATGAGTTGATTAGATAAGGAGTCAGAGATTCCTGAATTTCAAATGTTGATATATAATAATCATTCTTCCAAGATTGCACAGCTCACAATCTTTTTAGATCATCTAAATCATTATCTTCTATAGTATAATACAGGGTATCTCTGAAAGTTTTAAAATACAAAGCATTTAACATAAATTGAATTCTTATATTTTTGCTTAGAAAATTTAAGAAACATTATTTTGCTGTTCTTCATTGATATCTATTTTCAGAGGAATTATTTGTAATATTGAGTTTATACATTTTGAAAACGTGATAGATTATGAAATTTAGGGTAGTAGTTAAAATTCAACTGTCTCATGAGTTTGTTTGACTTAAAAAAGGAGTAATTGTATATTTACTGATTGAATATTTTACCTTTCTAATTTTATATCAAATATTATTAAAATATAACAAATATTATAAAGTAATTATGTTTGGTTGGGAAACTAAGATATTTAAAAGCTGTAATTTTCTTATTAAAAAATTAAAAAACTGGTCAGTTTGGGGGCTTACACCTATAAACCTAGCACTTTGGGTGGCCGAGGCATGAGGATCACTTGAGCTCAGGAGTTCAAGACCAGCCTGGGGGACCTAGTGAGTCCCCGTCTCTACAAAGAAAAAAAAAATCAAAAAATTAACTAGGCATGGCGACCTGTCCCTGTAGTTCCAGCTTCTTGGGAGATTGAGATGGGAGATTGAGGTTGTAGTGAGCTAAGATCAGGCCATTTCATTCCAGCCTTAATGACAGAGCAAGATTCTCTCTCAAAAATTAAAATCAAAAATAAAATATCTAAACTATAAAACACTTCACAAAAAATTTTTGTAACATATGTCATGTTTGTATTTGAAAGTGTTATTTCTGAAGCAGCAGCCAGGATAATTTTTTTAACATATTCGTCTGCAGACCCTTAATTTCTTCCACTAGGAATGTGTGAAATAAGTGCTGATACTTGTATGTTAGTTCACATAATCTAATAAATTCATTGCTGATATCGACACATAATAGTAAACACTTATATGGTATTTATAATGTGTAAGGTCTATTTGAAGACCTTTTCATCCACAGAGTTTTCCAAGCAATCCTGTCATGTGGATGCATTTTATTATCTACTATCTTGCTCATAAGATACAAGAGTTTCAGGAACTTATTTAGATGTGAAATTAAAAACTCGGGCATAATGGCTTCAGAAAATGTTCTAACTATTCTGCTATTCTACCCATTACAAAAATAAACCATCATTATCAACAACAAAAATATAATATAAGACAAATATAATACATAAACTAAGAAACAGAGCTAAAAATATCTTATAGCTATCAATCTAAGAACAGAATCTAACAATTCTCATTGACCTTTCTGTTATATAAATATCATTCATTTAATAAGAACGTTTTCTTCAAGGATGCTGGCCTGTTGCTGTACTTTCTTTTAGATTATTTCTTCTGGGATTTTCTTCACCCCTAGTTTCTAATTTAAATCTTACCGCATGACATCATGATTTTTCTTTAAAGGAATCTGGTTTTTTTGTTTGTTTTTTAGATCTTTGGTTGAAGGAACTCTAAGTATCGAATTGCTATCTTTTATGGCTGGTTTTCTACCATGAAAAATTTTCTGAATTGTTCACTGAAATGATATGTCTCTGTTAGTACAGTTATATGATTTTTGGTTCTTCTGTTATTCATATTCTACTTATACTCAGTCATTAGTTTCTGCACCTCAGTTTACTCAGCCTTATACCTCTGTCTTCCCATACTTAACCAACCCAAGTGACTATAGCTCCTTTAAATGAGGGAATATAATTCAATTGCAAACTACTTAAATACAATGTATCAAACTCTCGTGGAGGTTACATCTATATTACTGAATTGATTGGTAAAGTTCCAGTGCCAACTAGGAATAAAGCAATTTACAGAATTGGATTTACAAAAAATTGAAAATAAGGATTGACAAGATTAAGGAATGTCACTCACTACAGTTCTGGTCTACTTACGAATATTTTATTTAATCTGGAACTAATGTCCTCTGACTTAAGATTTGAAATAAGTTACAAGGCTGCAAATAGCCTAGAATTCACATTTTCTGGGAGAAAGAAAAAAGGTCTCACTAACTTGTGTAATTACCACAATTCATTTATTACTATTAATTTTTCTCCATACTGTATAAAGTCTTTGACTTGTAAAATTTCAGATTATGTAAATATAAAATATATGAGATTTTTACAAAGACATAATCACCAGCTTACAGTGATTTTGAAACACAGTGATTTAAAGTATAAGTAATTAGGAGTTATATGTTATTATTCTTTCATATATCTCATTAAAAGTTTTTTCAAAATACTGATAAACAATAAATCTTTTTTTATTATACTTTAAGTTTTAGGGTACATGTGCACAATGTGCAGGTTTGTTACATATGTATACATGTGCCATGTTGGTGTGCTGCACCCATTAACTTGTCATTTAACATTAGGTATATAAATCTTTAAGAAAAATATAATTTGAGAATTATGAGCACTTACAAAATAAACATGGAAACCTGAGAAATCCCAGGGAGTCTATAAAAAAGGGGGAAATGATAAGAGAGGGTGACAAGCTGACAATTTGACTTTCATGTTTTCTTATTACAGAGAATAGTCAATTAAAATTATTTTTCACAACTTTCACAAAATGACTTTCACTTATTTTAAATCAATGAACACTCCATGTAACCCCAGATTAGAGCTAATCTTTCAATCCAAAAACTTTCCCCCACAGAGTACCACATTTATATGCTCCTATTTCCTCCTGACAAAGTTGCACAGCACATCAGTAGAAGTCAGACTGCTGTGGTCTAGAGACTTTGTATTTGCCCATACTCTAGATCCGCAGTAAAACTTTAAATTGTAGATGTAGCGAGATTACATGGATGATGATCAGCAATTTCAAAATATTTAAGAAGTCTATTAAGTTGCTATAAAATATCTTATTTGCAGTTTTTGGCACTAAACTTGCAACTTAGCACTATGAGAATGCTTCCATTTGGTCATCAACTGAGCTAAAGCACAGGTAATTTGTACAGACTCCAAAGATGATAATTAAGATTATTGCAGTGATAACCCCCAGTATATTTGCAGACTTCCCAGGCAGCAATAATAACCAGCTCATCATCTTTTAATTAAAATGGTAGTAATTTTGTTTTCTAAAAATAAAATTGTGTCCCATTTTATTGTCAATAGAATGGTATATTCATTACATCGTACATTTTCCTTTTGTTTTCATTTGACATTAGAACTTTTTTGTGTCTTATGTGACACATATTATCAAACTAAATTTAAAGTAATGTCATAATGTCTATTGTATAAAGGAAATAGTAAAATGTATTTAAGGAGGCAGCTGGTGTTTTAAATAATCATACCTACTATAATATTATGTTTGATTCATAAACAGAACAAGTGCAAATGTTACTCCTTTACAAATTTTAAATAAGTAAATGAATTTATAAAATAATGTAATTGAATTAATGTAGTATTGTAGATGAACAACTCAGTTGTATTTATACTTACAGCTTTTCTATCTTATTATCATTTATACATTTAAAAATTTGGATTTATAAATATTTAAAACTCCCTAAAGACTAATAGATGATTAAGCTCTTTCCAAGGTGAGGGAGAGATTGCTCACCAGGATTTAAAAACTCAGGACTTGCTTAACTTATGTAAAATACAGCAGATAAGGAGTATTCTCTAAATTATAGAGTCTGATTTTTTAACAATACACTATTTTACAAATGTTCTTATGCTTCCTTGACAATATTTCTTAAAGATTAGAGGGTTTCATATTGTTTTTCACCAAATCATCTCATTCTCATTCAAACCAAATGTGCAATTGCAATTGCTCATCATTTTCTCTTTAACAATTAAAGTAGTAAAAATTTAAAACACTTTATTTTAGAAAACTAACCACCATTAGAGGTACTCTTCTTATTACTGTTTCCATTTTGAAACCACACTTTCTTTTTGTTTTATTTTTATTTTCAAAACATTTGGATAGGTAATAATAAACTGCATGAAAAGAATATGGCAATTTAGGGAAGCCATTAACATTCCTTTATATTTCATATCCTGTGGCTTAATAAGTTATTGAAATTAGGAGTTATTGCATCTCAGTTTTGTTCTATTATGTGAATTGAATTAAGTCACATTAGTTTTTGAACCTGTTTAACTGCAAAATAAAGGTCTTTCTTAAATAAGCAATTATAATATAATATGTTATATTTACATTTTGGTATAGAATAATATGTTTTTGATACCTTAAATTATATGTAATTATTAATGCAAACAAGAAGTATCAGTTTACAAGCCTAATTAGTGCATTATGGACAAAAGTTATATCTTGGCTTCTCTCTCTTTCTCTCCTCCTTTTATATGGAGGAAATTGATGGGCTCTGCGATAGCAAAGCTGCAGGATAGATGAGGCTGTGTTGCCTTACTCACAGTTTTAAGGAAGTGGTTCATCTCCTATATAGTACTAGGTCCTGTGATACTTTAGAAACTTTAAAAGTTCGGTTGGCAACAACAGCAATAACACCAAAAACTATAGCTTGTATTCCAGCATCAGATTTATTTTTGTTTTGTTTTTATTGTTTTAGACTTAGAGGCTGCTATGGACTGAAATTTTTTTTTCTCCCAAATTTGTATGTTAAGTCCTGAGACCGACTGTGGCGATTTTTGAAGATAGGGCCTATAAAGAGGTGATAAAGTCTAAATGAGGCCATGAAGGCAGGGCCCTGAGTTGAAAGGGTACCTTTATTAAAGGAGATGAAAAGACATTAGAGTATTCCCTTTCCCCATCATTTGAAGACACAGTGAAAGGCAGACATTTTAAAGCCAGGAAGAGATCTCCCACCAGGAACTGATTCAGCTGAAAGCTTGATCTTGGACTTCCCAGCCTCCTGAAGTGTGAAATGTAAATGTCTGTTGTATAAGACACCCAATCTCTGGTATTTGTTATGGCAGCCCAAGGAGACTGACATAGAGGCCTTTAAATGTCCCTTCCAACCCTGAGAAACTTTGAATTATCTATCTAATTTCAAATCAGTGGTCTCTTAGATCATTGCTAACAGTGTTTGTAATAGACTGCTCTATTAGTCCCAAATAATCACTCTTCCTGGTATTTAAGCACTTGTATGATTTTCTTTTACACTGATTCTGAGGTTGGTCATATTAGTTACTCTTTCCAATGAAACATCAAAAAGTATGATTCAAGCAGAGGATTGAAAAGCACATGCACATTGGAGCTTGCCTTCTTAGAATACCTCATCTTGGAAGCCAACAACTTTGCTATGAAGAATATCAGAATAGACCATTGAATGATGAGAGGCTTCCTGGAGAGATATACTGAATGATGAGAGACATATTGTACATTAATAGAACTGGCTGAGCTCCCAGATGAATGCAACTAAATATGTGATTTTAGATATACTATGAAGAACAGAAGGATCAACCAATTGACCATAGCCAACCTTCCGAATAGACAGAAATAATAAGTTATTTTTTAGACCACTAATGTTGAAGTGGTGTGTCGCACAAAAATTAAGAACTAAGTTAATGTTTAAATAAGCTAAAAAGAAACAACTTTCTTTCTATCAATGCATGCTCTATATCATAATCATAATATACTGCCGAAAACATTAGCGCTTTACATGTCCTACAGCAATGCTGCTCACTAGAAATTTCTGTGATAATAAAAATATTTTATATGTTTGCTGTCAACTATCCACTTGACATGTGTGTCTTTGGGGGAACTGAAGTGTAGCCAGTCCAAATAGAAAACTAAATTTTTTTATTTTATTTAAATTAATTTTACTTTAAATAGACATTTGTGGCCATTGGAAATATATCAGACAGTGAGGTTCTAGCATTTTTTTAGGTAAAACAATTATAGGGGAAGTTGAATTCTGAAACCAGCTACTTTCTCGCATATAAGATTTTACAATGAATCATCATGTATAAAAACCGCATCTTATATTTTGCATCTTTCCACCTTTATCAGTACATTGATTCATTAATTTAATAAGGAAACTAGAATATTAAAAGATAACCTAGAAAGTTTTGTTTCAAATAATCACAGCTAAAAGATAAAGAATGTTCATAATTAATATTAATATTGTTATAAAACATTATGTATCCAAAGATAGTGTTTACATCAACACACTTATTTATTTTACACATATTTGTCAGATGCCTTTTGTGAATTAGCCCCAGGAAACACATTAGAGAGTAAGAAAGTCAAGTTTTCTGTTTCACAGAGATTATAAATCTGATTGGTACGATGAACAATAAACATAGAAACACACGAATAAAATAATTTTTGGGGACACTGATAAGTATAACATTGGAATAACTCCAATAGAAGAGTGTTATCTGTTGGAAATGAGAGCACCAATATAATGGCTTACATATGTGCTGAGACAAGACAAATTAAGTTTTGTGAGGAATTAGAATTTCAGGACAAAATTCTGAGTGAGGAATTGCCCTGGCATTCATAAGAAACAAAAAGGGGTCAGAGTGACTGGAACAATGTGAGCAAGTCGGGACAAGGAGGAGAGTATTAAAAGAGGGCAGAGAAGTAGGGAAGGGCCAGATGAGACAGGATTGGCTAGACCATGTTAAGAGAGGTTTGCTTCCATCAAAAAAAGGAGAGGTTCGCTTCCATCAAAAAATCAACGAAAACAACTTTGCTTTTTGAAAACTTGAAGTAGGAAAAAAAAGATGATATTTCAAGTGTCTTATAAAAAGTTCACTGTGGCTCCTGGGGAGCTTGGTAGGCAACAACGAAAGCAAATTAATAATCAGAAAACTATTATAGATGTCTAGGGTAAGTCAATGGTGTCTTTGCAAAGATGGTGGCATTTGAGTTTCAGGAATGTACTTAGTAAATAACGTTCACTGAATGCAAGAGAGAGTCCCCCATAATGTGAAACATTGGTAATTACATTTCTGATAATAAGTATTAACATTTCTAACTAGGATTTCTATAAATATTTCCTAAATCAGATTATATTCACAGTGCCTAATAAGATCAAAAGAAGATGATCAGTCATTTCCATAGATGCCAGAAAATATTTGTTAAAATTTAACATCTTTTCATGATAAGAACTCTGAACAAACTAGATATAGAAGGAACATACCTGAAAACAATAAAGGCTGAATATTACAAACTCATGACGGGCATCATACTGCACAGAGAAAAATTGAAAGCCTTTTCTCTAGGATTTAAAACAGCACAAGAATACCCTCTTAAACTGGTATTCAACTAGAAGTCCTAGCCAAAACAATCTGGCAAGAAAGGGCATTGAAATTGGAAAGGAGGAAGACAATTGTTAAAATATACAAAATCAAAATCATAACATTATTTTAACATGCAAAAATCAGTAGCATTTTTATATGCCAATAGAAAATCTGAAAAAATCAAGAAAGCAGTTATATTTATAATAGCTATGAAAATAAAATATCTATTAATAAACTTAACAGATTTGAAACATCTCTACAATGAAAACTATAAAACACAACAAAGGAGTTGGGGAGGACACAAATAAACGGAAAGGTATCCCACAGCCCTGGATTGGAAGAATTAACATTGTTAAAATGTCCATGCTACCCAAAATAATCTACATGTTCAATGCAGTCTTTATTAAAATATCAATAACACTCTTCAAAGAAATAATAAGAAATTCTAAAATTTGTATGGAACCACAGAAGACTCCAAGTAACAAAAGCAATTCTGAGCAAAAATAAAGCTGAAGGCATCACAAGATCTGACTTCAAAATATACTACAGAGCTATAGTAATCAAAAGAGCATGGTACTGGCATGAAAACAAACACATAGACCAACAGAACAAAATAAAAGAGAAATTATTCCATGCATTTACAGCCAACTCATTTTTGATCGAAGCACCAAGAACATACAGTAAGGAAAGCACCTCCTCTTTAATAAATGAAGCTGTAAAAATGGGATATTCATATTCAGAAGAATAAAACTAGACTTTTGTCTCCTACCATACCCAAAAATATAATCAAAATGGATCACAGACTTACATGTAAACCTTGAAACTATGAAAGGACTGCAAGAAAATCGTCAAGCTAATAAACTTCTAAGCATAACAAAGATAACAATAAACAAATTAAAATTAAAGCTACAAAATGAAAGAAAATATTTGTAAACTATCCATCCGACCAGTGGTTAAGAAACGGAGTATATCAGTGATGCAAATGACTCAACAGAAAAAAATAATCATCTGATTTTAAAATGAGCAAAAGATCAAAATAAAGATTCATCAAAATATAAATACCAAAAGTGACATGCAAAAATGCTCAGTATTACTAATTATCAGAGAAACGCAAATCAAAGCCATAATGAAATATCATCTCACTCCACTTAAAATGACTATTATCAAAAAGACAGACAATAACAAATGTTCAACACATCATGGAGAAAGAACACCTGTACACTCTTGGTGGGAATGTAAGTTAATACAGTCACTATGGAGAACAGCAAGAAAGATTTTAAATAAAACTAAAAATAGAACTATCACATAATCAAGCAATCTCACTGCAGGACATTTATTCAAAAGAAAAAAAAATCAGTATATTGTAGTGATTCTACACTCCTATGTTTACTGAAACACTATTCACAATAGCCAAGAAAACAAATGAATCTGAGTGCCAATCAATGGCTGAATAGATAAAGAAACTGTGGTATGTATGGTAATGTAATATAATTTAACCACAAAAAAATGAAATTCTGTCATTTGAAGCAACATGGATGGAACTGGAGGTCATTATGTTAAGTGAAATAAACCAAGTATGGAAAGACAAATATTACATGTACTCAGTCATATGTGTCAGCTAAACATTTGATCTCATGGAGATAATGAGCAGAATGGTGGTTACTAAAGGCTGTAAAGTTTAGTGGGGAGGGAGACATGAAGAGGAGTTGGCTAATGTGTACAAAAATATATTTATTTAGAAGGAATAAGTTCCAGTGCTCAAAGGCACAATAAGTCTACTATAGTTAATAATAATTTGTTGTATATTTCAAAATAAGTAGAAGAAAAGATTCATAAAGTTCTCAACACAAAGAAACAATAAACTTTTGAGGTGATGGCTGTCTTAATTACCCAGATTTGATTATTACACATTGCATGCTTGTATCAAAATATCACATGTGCTCCATAAAACATGCATAAAAATTAAAAATCCATAAAAATTAAAAAAGAAAAATGATTATTGTACAATTTTATAATTGTATGCTGTGAATTAACCTATAGTGTATGACATAAATTAAGAAATGCTACCATTGTGCAGCCTGTAATTTATTTTTGAAAAACAGAGACACTCAAATTTTTCATTCTTAGATACTTTCTTATATTCTTGAAAAATTCTTATTACCCTAGAAAGGTTCGTGTTATGCATGTTTTATCTAGATTTGCCATATTAGTTATTAATATTGGTAATTTAAAACTTTCACTTATTAACTTACCTTAACATTAAAA
Organism: Homo sapiens; assembly: GCF_000001405.40. NCBI lineage: Eukaryota > Metazoa > Chordata > Mammalia > Primates > Hominidae > Homo > Homo sapiens. The sequence goes on along the minus strand of NC_000003.12, from coordinate 162,914,749 downwards.
TAAACTCATAATATACCTTAAAACATATTTATATCAACATTAAGTATTTCAAAACTGACTAAATAAATAAATAAACACTTCAAAACCCAAATAAAGAATGATTACATTGTTTTTCATTTTGGCTATTTTTTTTAAAGACTGGCCAAACACAAGGTAGCTGGATTCTCATATTTATTTCTTTATTTAGTCAGTTGTGGTATGTTATTTTAGTTGAAGTACACGATGAAAATTCAGCGTCACACAGAAATGCGTGAATATACATCTTTGATGTCACACCAAATTTTGACAAGCGGTAGTTTCTTTAAGATCAGTTGCACACGGAATATAAAACCATACAAATAAGCTTTTTGTACTTTACTACATTAAAATTTATTGGCCTACCTTGCTCTTTGAGTGGATTCCTTCTCCATTTGTGATGTTATGACATTACAGCCATTTGGGAATATTAGTTCAATGAGTTATGCAGAAAAAACAATTTTGACATATGTATTTATGAAATATAAAAAGAGACTTACCATCAATTTCATCAACAAAGGCTAAGTACTGGGAATCTGTCAAGATTTTGGTGGTAGGTGCATGTTTTCCAAAATTCTAATGTTTGGTTGAAAGCTCAACTTTTATCACTGATAACAAATACAGATGGCCCTCGATGTCTATGAGTTCTGCATCTGTGGATTCAACCAACAAAGGATAAAAATTTTTTTCCAAAAAAACTTAAATAATTATGATAAAAATAACATAAATAAAAACAATACAGTTAACAACTATTTACACAGAATTTACATTTTATTAGGTATTGTAAGTAATCTAGAGATGCTTTAGCATATAGGGCAGAATCTGAATATACAAATACTAGACTATTTTACACAAAGGACTTGAGCATTTATGAATTTTGGTGTCTGCTGGGACTCCTGGAACCATCCCCTGTGGATACCAAGGAATGACTGACTTCCTGACTTTCTGATACAAGATGCGTCAAGAATATCTCATAATTTTCCCTTTCTAGTACTAGAATTATTAATTTCTACAAAGACCTCTGTTTTCTTGATGTCAATGGTGTTTTGTTGCTTTTAGGCAATTTCAGTGGGTAGAGCTAGGCATTTTATATATACATATTAATATATGTAGATTGATATATATAATACACACACACACACACACACACACACACACACACACACATATCTCTCTATATATATGGAAACCTCCAATTCCAGCCTAATACCATAGGAATCTTCTATTTCTTCTGCATTTCATGTTTGTATTTGCCTCTTCTCAGAATAAAACCTTACTTCCTAACACTTTATTTTATAGTGTTTAGGGGATAGCAAATAGTATTTCCTGGGAATGCACTGGTGTCTTTATTCTAAAGGCTAGAGGCTTTATGAACAATATAAGCCATTTAAAGTTCAGTTCTCTGTGCTTCTGAAATGTATTCATTTAAAAGCTCTAATGCCCACTGAGCTCAGCATCAAATCCTGATAAAGGCAATATGGAACAGAGTTTGTGCTTAGAGCCTCCATAGGAAACCCACTTGTAAGAGGATATACATATCTCTTCAGGGGAGTATGATAATGTGAATGTGTGAAGGTGATGCTGAAATATGACTGGTAATCTATCCTACAAGCACAAAATCTTTCCATTGCAAAAAATATAATAACATTACTCAAATATTTATTCAAAGAATCACAAGGCTGCATGGAATACTGAAAGGCAGTAGATCCCATTTTCTGGCTTTCAGGCAAGATCACATTTAAACTAATTTAGATGATGAAACTCTCTTTCTTTGTAAAGGACCTCCTTGGATAACTAATTTTCACATTTAGCATTCTTAACTGTTGGAAAATTCTTTGTTATATGTAGCTTATACCCTCTATTCTTCAGTATAATCTCCTTGATCTTCCTACATTCTAAGTAGTGAAGGAAAATAGCTTGTCATTCTCCATTGAATAATATTTTTTATATACTATAAATATTATATAACTCAGCCTCATTTCTTTTTTTTAAGTTTGTATTTCTCCTCATGGTCTTACTTCCTTTATCTATTTATTACCTTATTATTCTGCTGAAATCTCTTCAAATTATGCTTAAACTTTGAACATTTTAGAGCATCATCACAAACAGAACGATGTAGACAAAAATGTGGCTTAGTTTGACTATATTTTAAGGAGACCTTAAACCTCTTGTCTGTTATGTGTTTTTTAAGTTATTCTTCATTTCTGGTTTACTGTGTTATTTTTCTCCATTATGTATCAAAGTTTTTTTGTTTCTATTTTGTTTCTTCTATTCAGTGACATATAGCCATTTAAGCCAATTCTCATAGTAAGCCACATTATTTAGTGCAGAGGTTCTAGGAATTATTGAATGGTGTCAAATTATGTTTTGATCTGCCAAAATAATTCCTTATAATTTTTGTATTTCCTCAACAACTGAGTAACAATAATCTTGCGATGATAACAACTGTTTTTTGAGTGCTTAACATGTGCTAGCCATTGTGGTAAGCATATTGCATGATTCACCTAATTTAACTTTTTCAAAAGTAATTATTGTAAATTCTGTTTTTTTCATTTAAAATGAAGTGAGGGGCACTAAAACAGTTCAGTGATGATTAAAACAAGGAGTAAAGTTGTTATGCAAACACATATCAGTCTAACTGAAATCTGTGCTTTCAACAACTCTAAAAACCTTCTAGAATTTAATTTGGTTCCTAATGCTTCATAAATTACCTTAGTTATAAGAGTTATAAGATTTGATGCTACTTACAACAATCCTATGGAAACAGGGGAGTACTACTTAAGCCCAATCCAATCTCAAAGTAACCTCTGTCCAATTACGAATTGGAGGGAGTTACACAAGTGGCAGTTGCAATTTTCAGGCTATCAATTACTAAATTAGTACATAATTAAACCCAACACATTCCTTTATGTAACTGGATAATATGGAACATTTTATCACAGGAAGATAGTACAGAATGAGAATGGAAAGAAGATAGAATTGACTGAGCAATATGCTACTTTGAAGACTGAAGACCATCCAGGAGGGTAGATTTCAGATTCATGAGGAAAGTGGGATGACTTGAGTTAGTCAGTGGTATCCAGTTTTAGGAAAATAGTGGTTTCAAAATGGAATTATAAAACTATAATGTGATATAGTCCTTGCCTGGAGGTTGGATAGTTGCCATTGCAGGGCTGATATAGTACCTGGGTGCACAATACAGCAGAACATAGATAGGACATTTTTCTGGTCTCGTAGATGATCTAGCATCAGTGTAGGTTGAATAAAAGGTAGAATTAAGAGGTACAGTAATGGTAGCAGGTGATAAGCTTATTTGAAGTAGTGCTGTAAGCATAGGATAGAGAATCAGAACAAACAATGCCTACCACCAGTCACCAGCAGCTTTGTAGGTAACTGATTTTTAATTAAACACAGAGGTCTGTGATTAGGATATCTCAGAATATGTAGAGCTTGGTTATTCTACATGAATAGAAGAAGAGAAAGATGTATTTTACTATATTCTATAATTTCTTCTTTTAAAACAGGTTGACACATTCAGAAATAATTATTATCTGTAGAATTATAGAATAATAGCACAGAGAAGAACCTTAAAAATGATGTAGTCAGGATTTCGAAAATGGGCCAATGTTAAAAATTTGTATCTTTAAGAACAACCACTTAACTCTGCTATTGTAGTGCAAATGCAGTCATAGAAAACATGTAAAAAAAAAGGGGCATGACTATACTGTAGCTAAAACTTATTCACAAAAATAGGTGGCAGGTCATATTTTGCCCATGACAAGTAGTAGTTTCTGACCCTTGATGTAGTCTAATCCTATCATTTTTGGATTAGAAAAAGGCTTTGTCAAGTGTCAAATAGCTAGAATTTGCAGGCATGAATAGAAATCAAATCTTCAGAATCCTAGATCAATATAGCGACCTAATTTCTCATAATATATACATTCTATGACAAAATAAAACCTATGTTTCATAAGAACAATTATAAATATTATTGGTTGAAATAATTCTAAAATATTTTTGTATTTTCTCCCATTTATTGTGGTATAATTGACTGATAAAAATTGCATATATTTAGAGCATGCATCGTGATGTTTAGATATATATATATGCATTGTGCAATATTTACTACAGTCAAGCTAATAAGCATATCCAGCACTTCACATAATTACCCTTTTTGAGTGTGTACTGAGAACACCTAAGATCTACTGTCATAGTAAATTTCTAGTATGCTGTGTAGTACTTACTATTAACTATTGGCACCATGCTGTACATTTTATGTATTCATTAATCCTGCTTAGCTGAAACTTTGTACCCTTTGACCAACATCTTCCCACTCTTCTTGCCCCCTATTGCTGGCAACCACTATTCTACGCTCTGCTTCTCCAAGTTCAAATTTTTCAGATTCCACATATAAGTGAGATCATACAGTAGTTGTCTTTCTATGCCTGGTTTACTTCACTTAGCATAATGTCTATCAGGTTCGCCCATGTTTTTATAAACAACAACATTTTCCTCTTTGTTAAGGCTTAATACTATTCCGGCGTGTGTATATGTCTGTGTGTGTGTATTTGTCTGTATGTGTGTGTGTGTCTAATTTTCTATCCATTAGTCTGTCAATAGGCACTTAGGTTGATTTCATATCTTGGCTATTGCGAACAGTTGTGCAAAAAACATGGGACTTCAGATATCCCTTCAATATACTAAATTACTTTCTTTTGGGCATATACCCAGCATTTGGATTGTTGGTTCACATGGTAGCTCTATCTTTAATTTTTTGTGAAAATCACAAACTGTTTTTTATAACGGCTGAAAAATTTACATTCTCTATAATAGGGAACAAAGTTTCTCATTCAAATCCTCTCTAACTCTTGATATCTTTTGATTTTTTGTAACGATCATGCTAATAACAGGTATGGGATGACAGCTCATTCTGGCTTTGATTTGCATTTTCCTGATGGTTACAAATATTGAGCATCTTTTCATATATGTATTGGCCCTTTGTATATCTTTTTTGACAAAAATGTCTATTCTTTGCAGGTTCTTTGCATTGAGTGTTTAGTTAGTAAAATAAATTTACTAAAATTGTTTCATTTAATTCCCACCACTCACCCTGATGAGGAGGGCATATAATTATTCTTATTATATAGATGAGAAACAAGAATGTAAGAAATGGACATCCTTAGTATATTATCCAATGTAATTTCTAAATTAATAGGGAAGATTCATAGAGATAGATTTGACCCCAGACAAGTTTTTTCACTAGTAGACTTTGACTATTTTCTGAAATTTCAAAATGGTTTTAGATCTATTTCCTCTTCTCATATGTCTGCATATATAGGTATATATGTGTGTACATTATTTATTTAGCATTTTATTTTATTTATTTTAATTTCTGGGATACATGTGCAGGATGTACAGCTTTGTTACACAGGTAAACATGTCCTATGGTTGTTTGCTGCATCTATCAACCCATCACCTAGGTATTAAGCCCCACATGCATTAGCTATTTATCTTGATTCTCTCTCTCCCCCTATAAATTCTTAAGGTAGTTTAAGTAATTATATTTTGTAAAAAAAATTCATCACCATTACTTTTAACTTAGTTTTATATTTTATGAAAATATGACATTTTTATTTTTAAAATAGCTAATACATATATTCGCATAATTCATTTTATTTACAGCATTGTTCATTCATGCTTTAAATATTTCTTCTAAACCTTTCACAATTGATTCTCTCAATTTTACTTCTAAGCTAAAGAGTGGATATTGAATAGTTTATTGTATTAAAGTTTGGGCTCTAAACTGGTTGCTGTTTGCAGATGAAATAATAGTCTGAATCAGAACCAATAAATTAAAAAAAAAAAAAGAAGAACTTTAAGATAAATATGCATGTTCCCTTAACACAAGAGCCATTAACAGAAGTCAGTACTGTTTCTACACACCAGAAACCACTTGGAAATGAAATTTTAAAATTATGATGGACAATAGTAATAAATCTATGAAGTAACTGATATAATAAATGGTCAAGAATTTATTTAAAATATTATTGTTTAGAAGAAATTATTGAACAAATTTAATAAGCCCACAAATAAAAATAAGAATAAGAAATTTAACTTTAAAAGCCATATGATACAAAGTATATAAAAGAAAGAAGAAAGAAAAGCTATAATCTGGAAGATAGTATTTGTTATAGATTTAAAAAAAGAGAGAGGATAATCACAATTGATATAATAATGGATAAGAAATAGACAAAAATGTTGGCACATTATATAATCAGGAAACATATATGAAAATATACTTACAACATTCATAAGAGAAATGAAAATGCACTAAAGAAAAATAATTTTAAATGCTAAATAATTAACATTTAAAAGTCTGAATACAAAGTTTTGTCAAGGCTTAAAGAATGATAATAAAAATGCTTTGCTCTTGAAGAGAAACTTTATAATTGCACATTCTATGACCTTGCAATTCAAATTCTAGGTAAATATTCTAGAAGAAAAGTTTCACATTAAAATTGTTCATATGTGCAAGGAGGCATTAACAAAGATGTCTATGACAGTGCTACTTAGAATTATTTAAAAATTGGGTCCCCACTTTATTATAGATCAATAAATAATTGGATAAATTAGCAGTAATACATTCAAAAATAAAATGTGTTTCAATTTTAAGAAGAAAATAAACACATGCATATATGAGCATAGCTAAATTACAAAATATAATTATCAGTGAAAAAATAAAGTTTCAAATGTATACAGTATGATTTCTTTCACGTAAAGCTTTAAAAAACAAAACCGATTTACATATTGTTATTTTTACTTAGGTGAGAAGGATAGTATTAATATTGAGGCTTGAGGATGGTACTCTAACTGTATGTAACTATCTAATTTTATTTAAACATATAAAGCAGATATGGCAAAATAATAACCTGTGTTGAAATATGGGTGGTAGTACATTTGTATGTGCAATATTACTCTTATATTTTCTGATATTTGAAATATTTTATAACTTTTGACTTATAGGAGGACATTGTTCATTTTCCTCAATAATTTTCCATTTACGTGTACACTGTTATAAAAGAATTTACTATGCATATTAATGTAGATCATCTGATGCTAAAGCACTTTCTTTCTCACATTTTAAATTACTAAGAGAAAAGGGGTTAAAACAGCTGGTCTGTGATCTATTAATCTTCCATTACAGAGGGGATGCTGCTAGGAAAGAATGAATCCTGTCCTGTTTGAATAATTTAACTTTTTGACACTTTGTTATGCCATTTTAGCTTAATTCTGCTAGAAAAATGTACAGTATAATAAAAAAGGAAATAAAGTTTATAAAAGTACAAGGGATTTTTTGGTTCAAAAATTAAATACTGAACATCACTAATCAACAGAGAAATGGAAATCAAAACCATAATGAGATACCATTTTATAGCAGTTGGAATGACTATTACTAAAAAGTCAACAAACAACAGATGTTGGTGAGGAAGCAGAGAAAAGGGAACACTGATAGATTGTTGGTGGGAATGTAAATTAGTGCAACATCTATGGAAAACAATGTGGAGATTTCTCAAAGATCTAAAAATAGAACTATAATTTGCCCTAGCAATCCTACTATTGAGTATCTACTCAAAGCAAAAGAAATCGTTTTATCAAAAAGACACCAGCACTTATGTGTTGATTATAAAGAAATCATTATATCAAAAAGACAACTGCGGCTCCATTCACAATATCAGAGTCATACAATCAACCTAAGTGTCCATCGACAGATGACTGAATAAAGAAAATGTGGTAAAAAGGATGACATAATGTCTTTTGCGGCAACATGAATGAATCTGGAAGCCATTATTCTCTTAAGTGAAATAACTCAGAAACAGAAAATCAAACACTGTATGTTCTCTCTTATAAGTGGGAGCTAAACAAAGGGCACACATGGACATATGGCGGAGGATAGTAGACACTAGGGCCTCTGAAAAGGGGGAGGCAGGGAAGGAGTAAGGGTTGAAAATTACCTATTGAACTCACGCCTCTAATCCCAGCACTTTGGGAGGCCGAGGCGGGCGGATCACGAGGTCAGGAGATCGAGACCATCCTGGTTAACACGGTGAAACCCCGTCTCTACTAAAAATACAAAAAATTAGCCGGGCGCGGTGGCGAGCGCCTGTAGTCCCAGCTACTCGGTAGGCTGAGGCAGGAGAATGGCGTGAACCCAGGGGGCGGAGCCTGCAGTGAGCCGAGATCGCGCCACTGCACTCCAGCCTGGGCGACAGCAAGACTCCGTCTCAGAAAAAAAAAAAAAGAAAAAAGAAAATAACCTGTTGAATACAGTGTTCACTATTTGAGTGATGGGTACACTAGAACCTCAAACCACACCACTGCGCACTATATCCGTGTAACAAGTCTGCACATGCACCCCCTGAATCTATGCATTTAAAAAAATAAAAATTAATGTAGTCACAAACCATTGTACCCTTAGTAAATTGAGGTCATAAATGTATTCTTACTGAGTTTAAATAATTTTCTTTGAACTCAAAATTGTGGTTTTCATAAAGTTAATGTGGTTTTATTTATCACATTCTATATTTTTTACAGTTCGATTAATGTTTAATATTAAAAGTTGTACTTTCGTGTTCTGGCTTTGGTCCTCTTTCAAGTTTTTGTCTCTGTGCATATGTGCTCCTGTTGTTGCTGCACTACTTCAAATTAAAAAAAAACTATGTTAATACACCCAGCACCTCCTACTCACCCCAGATCCTGATAAAACCACAACGAATATTCATTGAAAATCTACAACATGCAAAATATTGTATTAATGACACTTAGGTTTTAACTTGCAGTCTCCCGAGAAACTTACTCATTAGGCACATGTTACATTATTTTTATAGATGATGAGAAACACAGCCAGTTAAAGGAAACCAGGATTTAGCCCTAGGTTTAACAGTAGCCAGCAATTTAGCAGTTGGTGGAGCAGCGTGATAACAAAGGCAATAAAAGTTATGTCAGACCTGATTGAAAAGTGCTAAAAGGTTAGTTTCTATTTGTACAAACATCTTCATTAAAAATAAATACACTGTGTTCTTCATACATGATGTGTAACTAAAATATTTTGATTTATCCAGTGATGTTCAATACCTTGTTCACTTACCTAATGTTTTTAAAAGAAAACATAGGTTATAAGGTAGGGGACATCTTATAATTTTAAAACTCCTTAAGAAGGGGCTACTATACAGATATAAAAACTATTTAGATGTAATTCCTAAAATTGAGATAGACAAATAATTCACTGGTAGTGAAAATGTTTTTCTTAACACACAAATATGTTGAATATTCAAAATTTTTACTTGGACATCTCAAGGAGATATGAGAAAAGCTTTATTAGTACCAAACAATATTTCTGCTATTTATTCCTGAATCACGAAGATATTATTGCCTCTACAGCCCAGGATGAAATGGAATATTTGGAGCAGTTTTTCCTGTATAAAATGACATTCAGCAGAGTATCTATCATCAGTTCTTATAAAATGGCATATTTTCCTAATACACTACAGTGAGAGCATTTCACATTCCATTTCTTTTATTGACATTCTGTTATCACCATTGATCATTTCTTTTGGAAAGAAACAAAATTTGTCAGAAAAATTTTTAAAAATATCAAAACATGAGAAACAAAATTGAATATAATTTTAAACGCTACAGTCACTAATTGTTACTTTAGGTGGGCAGCAGCTCATCCAAGAATACTTATAAAATTCATCCAAAAGTTTTAGAAATTCTTTTGAAATCAATTTTAAAATAATAATTCTCATAACAGAAAGCATTATACTTTAGAAATGTTTTTGGTGTCTTTGAAATCAACTAGTTATTGCTTTGAAAAAAATCTCAACTTGGTTTTGAATGTGAAATTTATCTTCCAGTTACAATGGTAAATATGAAAAAATATTTTCTATAATGACAATATTGTACTTGGTGAAATAAATGTATATCTTTCCAAGATAATTGATATGAAGAATATGGTATTCATTTCAAAATCTTCATTGTAGTCTTTGATTTTTAAAAAATTTTTATTTACTATATAGTAATATTTCATGAATTATTAAATATATATTGGAATCCTCAATGAAAATAATGTGAGGCTAAAATGGCTAATTTCATGCTCAAGTTTATGCTTCTGGAGAAAATTGCACAACAAAATTATTTGTGGTAAAAGATATTCAGAAGTAGTATTAACTCAGATAAATAAGTTTCAACTTATCTTCAAAATGTTTGATAAATACTTATTTTGTGTGAAAGGGATTTATTTTAATCTCACAAAAAAAATGGAATTTATTTTAATCTCACAAAAAAAACAAGTGAAACACTTGTCCCCACAAAAAAAGTTTTACTAATACATCTTCCAAAATGAAGAACTCATTAAAACTCTACATTCAGCATCATCCATACAATGAATTTTTTTGCACTACTGCATCATGCAATTACTTAAAACAGTTTGCAAAATTAATATGTTTGGCTTTTCTCCAATTACATTTATAATGTCTTATGCTTTCTCAGAACTTTAAAAAAATGCAAATATGTTTATGAAAGTGATTTATTAGCTTTTTAATTTTTAAATTATAAATAACTTAGCATGTTGTACTAAAAGTAACTGAATTTCATTATGTAAAAAATATTAAAGTAAGCCAGAATGAGGGAGACATGTTGGCATATTAATATGTATAACATGGATACTATAACACTACAATAACTGAGGCTTTCAGTGGAAATATTGAGTCATAAATGCAAATTAACATATATTATAAGATTGTCTCTGAACTTAAACAACAATAAGAAATAAGATTTTAATAAAACAGTAAATCTGAAATCACTGTTTTTCAACTTTAGACATAGACTACATGTAAAGGGAAAATAAATTACAATTACATCAACAGACTGACACCATGAGTGGAATATTCCTCTATGATTAAACAAAAAAAAACCGAATAATTCCAAATCAATTTTAGGGTTTTCTTTTTATTTTTATGAAGAAGGGCATTGGTACTTTGATAGAGATTGCACTGAAACTATACATTGCTGTGGGTAGTATGGACACTTTAATAATATTAATTCTTCAATCCATAAACATGGACAATTTAACTTTTTATTTTCTAATTTGTATACCTTAAGTTTTTTTATCTTGACCAATTACTCTGGCTAGGCCTTCTTGTACTATATTGAATAGAAGTGGCAAAAGTGGCCATTGACATTCCTGTCTTGTGACAGATAATAAATGAAAAGCTACTGACTTTTCCATGTTTAGTATAGCATTAGGTGTGGGTTTGGCAGGTAGGGCTTTTCCTGCTTTGAAGTAAATTTCTTATGTACCTAATTGTTGAGAGTTTTTAACAGGAGATGTTGAATTTTTTCAAATATTTTTCTGCATTGCTTGAGATAATCATATGGTTTTTGTCCTTAAATCTGTACCCCAAATAACCAAAACAATCTTAAGCAAAAACAAAGATGAAGGCATCATACTACGTGACTTTAAAATATGCAACAGAGCTGTACTAACCAAAGCAGCATGGTATAGGCATGAATATAGACACAGACCAATGGAACAGAATAAAGAAAGGAACCAAGAACGCACAATAGAGAAAGGACAGTCTCTTCAATAAAGGGTGCTTGGGTTGCCGCATTCGGAAGACTAAAGCTAGACTCCTATCTCTCACCATAGACAAAAGTCAACTCAAAATAGGTAAAAGTTTAGATGTAAGACCTAAAACTCTGAAACTACCAAAATAAAATTGAAGAAATATACTTCATGACATTAGACTAGGCAAAAACTTTTTTAGATAGGGTCCCAAAGGCACAAGCAACAAAAGTAAAATGGTCAAATAGAACTATATTAAACTAAAAAGTTTCTGCATAGCAAACAAAACAATCAATAGAGTGAACAGGCAACCTACAGAACGAGAAAAAAACTAATTAAAAAATGGGCAAATGACATGAATAGACAATTAACAAAAGAAAATACAAATGGCCAACAGGTATATGAAGAGATGCTGACCATCACTAATCACCAAGGAAATGTAAATCAAAACCACAGTGAGGTATCATTTTACCCTAATTAAAATGACTATTATCAAGAAGACAAAAAAATAAAAATAATAAACGTTGTTGAGAATAAAGAAAAAAGGGAACTCTTATACACTGTTGATGAGAATGTTACTAGTACAGCCACTATGGAAAATAGTATAGACATTTCTCAAAAAATTAAAAATAGAACTCCCAATGATCCAGCAATTCTACTATTTAGTATATATCCAAAGAAAATAAAATCAGTATGTAGAAGACATATCTACACCTCATTTATTGCAGCATTATTCACAATAGCTAAGATATAGAATCAACGTAAGTGTCCATCAATTGATGAATGGACACAGAAATTGTGGTAGTTATACCACGATTTCTGGAATACAATTCAGCCATAAAAAATAGTAAGATATTGTCATTTTGGGCAACATGGATAAGCCTAGAGGACATTATGCGAAGTTACAGAGACGAGGCATAGAAAGACAAAAGCTTCATGATCTAATTCAAATGTGAAATATAAACAAGCTAATCTCACAGAATTAGAGAATAGAGTGGTGATTACTAGAGGCTACAAAAGAAAAGGACCTTTAATGTTCTTACCACAAAGAAATCATAAATGCATGAGGTGATGGTTATGCTAAATACATGATTTGATTTTTATACAACACATGCATGTATTGAATCATCAAACTTTACTTCATAAATATATAAAATTATGATGTGTTGATTGAAAATAAAATTTAAAAAATAACAAAATGGAAAATTTCTTATTTGTTGTTTTGCCCATTATCTTGCCAAGGCAGTCAAATAAGATCACTAGTAAAGATGATGGAATATCAGCTAATGTCATGGTAAATACCCTCAGAACCAAGTGTGTGCTTGCTACTTAGCCACCTTCACAGATTATGGGAAACCCATGGTATTTTAAAATAATATATATCCACTCCTACTGGTTACAAATTATCAATTTGAAAATGTCCTACAGGTGTGACATCTGATATCTAACTACAAGCTATATTGTCTATTTTATGTAACTAAACTGGAACATAAATGCCATCTTTACTTCTCATAAAGGAGAGCCACCACTATCCTATTACCTGTAAAGGACTGGCCAGATTCCAGTGTTTCTATTTCAGGGCAAGCAACCACTTATCTGCACTAGTTGTGTTGCTAATTTCTGTACTCATAGTAGTCTTATATATCGATTTAGGATTATTTCCTTATATATGTAGAATTGATGTCAAAATTATTCTCATCATAATTTAGGTAGTCCCTAACTATTCATCAGAATTTTATGTAAATTGAATGAATTCGTCACTGTAGTTTCAAGTGAAGGAGGCTTACAAGTTATAGTAGAGATTCCATGGGTTAAGATGGATGGTGGCACAGTAGTTATAGCTAAAGATTACTCTAGGATATCCCTCTTTGTGATTTTTAGTTAAGTTTTTTATGTTTATAAAGTCATGTTAGAGACATCATGAAGCAGGTGCTTAAGTATTAATGATGGCTAATATTAATCTATCACTCGTCTTCAACAGTTCAGCAATTGTATATCACTAGCTTTTGCTACATGTGTGTGCAAATATACACACTTATTTGGTAAACTGACCCTCAAAATTTTAGTTCTCACAGTTTTTCTTTTTTTTAATTATACTTTAAGTTCTAGGGTACATGTGCATAACATGTAGGTTTGTTACATATGTACACCTGTGCCATGTTGGTGTGCTGCACCCATTAATTTTTCTAATTTTATCACTTATAGCTCTCTTCCATTCATCCAGTATTTCATCCAAAGGATGCCATTTCTTTGCCAGAAACATCCATTATTTTCTGTCCTCATATTTCACTTATACTTACAAGCCTTTATTCTCATATTTAAGGATCCACATTTTCATCACTGTTTCAAAGCCAAACTTGAATGCTATTGATTATTAAGTACATTTCCCATAAAAATCACCTTCACCTTTAAAGTGTTAATTCTTCAAAATTTGCATAGAATACTTTATATTATTGTTATGCTACTGAGAGTGTTTATTCTGGTGTTGAATAATATCTGGTTTTACCCCTATTACAATATAACTCCCAAAAAGGAACTGATTTTTATCTTGATATTTCTCAAGTTTCCTGTGGAATTTCAGTGAAGGTAGTAGGATGAATTCATTAAAGCTGTGCAAAAGAATGTTTGTACATTTATACATTTATGAACACTCATATGCATATAGAATAAAATGGCATTCATAACATATGAAATCTGGATATTACTGACCTCATTGACTTGTTCTGCTCTGCTCTACTTGCTTTTTGTCCACTCTTAGCAACTTATCACAGCAATATTTCTCAAAACTCCTTTAATCATCTCTACTTAATTCATTCCACAAAGTCCTTGTCTGTCTGTCTTATTATTCATGCCCTTTTACAAATTTGTTGCTTCCCTTCAGTTCTCCTTCTTTCTGCTATATTCTATTTCTTTAGTAGTGAATCACTAGGTCCAGCTTATATTCAAAAGAAAGAAATCACAAAAGGTCATAATACCAGAAAGTAGGCCTTGGAGGCCATCTTACAGGCTGCTGATGACAGTTAGATTTTATCTGCAATTTATATGATATGAAAGTATAATTGGGGAAACATGGGAGTATTTCAACAGTTACAACAAAAAGGGATTTGACAAAATCCAACACCCATTCTTGGTTAAAAGAACAATCAAAAGCTAGGAATTAAATTGGAATATCTATGTTTTGATTAAAAAATAAAGTCCAGAGAATCTACAGGTAAAAATCACAATTAATGGTAAAAGACTGAATACTATTAACTAAGATTTTGAAGAAGGCAAGTTTGTTTGATGTTACTTTATCTGCTCAACATTATGCTTTGGGATCTAGCCAAGGCAATAAGGCAAGAAAAGAAAATAAGATGCATCTATATTGGTTTAAAATAAATACAACTACCTGAGTTCTTTTTCTAGATCAAAAAGTTTTCAAAAGCAACAAACTCTAAGAAACACACACATACAAATCTTACTTGAAAAAATAAGCAAGTTGAGTAACGTCATAGGCTGCAAGATCAATATTAAAAAAATTGTATTTGTATGTACTAGCAAAAATCAATCTGATAACTAAATTGGTAAAATTATTTTAATGCAATAGCATTAAAAATACTTAAATATAAATTTAATAAAGTAGTAAAAAATCTCTACATTTTAAACACCAAAATACAGCTGAGATATGTTAAAGAAGACCTATTGAATGACATCAAATTATTAAGATATTCTCAACTTTATTTATAAGAAATTCTATCAAATTTTTAGGAGACTAATAATAAAAAATAACAAATTTATCCTAAATTTTACTTGGAAATGCAAAGGATCTAGAATAGGAAACTCCATTTAAAAATAAGTATAAAGATGTACGATTTATACTATCTGATTTCAAAATTTAATATAAAGCTATAGCAACAAAAAATAGTGTATATTTGGGATAAAGATAGATAATAGATAAAAGAGCAGAATAGATTCAAGAAATAACTGATTTTGGACAGAGGCACTAAGGCTATTCAATGATATGGAAGTCTTTCCTAGGCAATATGTTGGAACATTTGGATTTTTATATGCAAAAAATACAAAAAATTAACCTAGTTTCTTCACCTCAAATTTTAAACAATAATTAATTTAAATATGAATCATAGATGTAAATACAAAATCTAAAAAAATAAATCTGAAAAAACAAAAATGAAAAGAAATAGTAGAAGTTTTTGTGAACTAAATTAGGAGCTTTCTTAAAAATGATCCCATATAAAATAAAAAATTTATTGATAAAAGCATAAATTTTAAAAATGATGAATTATACTTTATTGAAATTAGAAGCTTCCACTTAAGTGACAGTGAGTACACATATTCAAATTGCATATTTATGTTTATAAAAGACTTGTATCTATATATAAATATAAAACAGAGTTACCACAAGACCCAGTAATTCTGTTCCTAGGCATACAGCCAGGAAAAATGAAAATATATCTACACAAAAACTTGCACATGAAGGTTCATGGTGGCATTATTCATAATAGCCAAAACATATAAGTAGCCAAAACATATAATTATATATTATAATAGCCAAAACATATAATTATATATTATACATATATAGCCAAAACATATAATTATATATTATAACATATATTTTATATATATATATATATATATTTTTTTTTTTTTTTTTTTTTTTTTTTTTTTGAGATGGAGTTTCACTCTTGTTGCCCAGGCTGGAGTGCAATGGCACGATATCTGCTCACTTCAGCCTTCGCCTCCCGGATTCAAGCAATTCTCCTGCCTTAGCCTCATGAGTAGCTGAGATTACAGACATGTGCCACCATGCCCTGCTAATTTTGTATTTTTAGTAGAGACGGAGTTTCTCCATGTTGGTCAGGCTGGTTTCGAACTCCCAACCTCAGTCTAAATACTTTTAAATGCTTAATACTCAATAATAAGGAAACAACTCATTTTTTAAAAAGAAGTAAAACAGCTTTTAGTAAACACTTCATCAGATAAGCTAAACGGATGGTACAGAAATTTTAAAATGATGCTCAAAATCATTCATCACTAAGAAAATACAAAAAAAATCAAAATGAAATATTACTATGTATCCAGTAGAATGATTATAAATACAAAGGCTTAATACCAAGCATTGGCAATATTGAGGGGAAACGCCAATCTTTTTACACTGCTAGTAAGAATATAAAACATTACAGCCAATTTGGAAAGTATAGATTCATCATATGAAACCAACAATTTTTCCCTCAGTAATGCACCCAAGAGAATTGAAAATATATATTCATACAGAGAATTTTAATGAAATGTTTATAGAATTATTCATAGTTGCCTAAACAACCTAAATGTCCTTCAGCTGGAAAAACAATATGTCAATACAATGTAATCCTACTCAGCAATTAAAACAAATTAATAATTGATACATGCAACAAAATGATACACCAAAAAACATTATAAGAAGAAAATCATATACATATTTATAGAATACACTTGATACTCTGATGAACACACACAATGTGTAATGATTAACAGGGTATTTAGAATAACCATCACCACAAACATTTACCATTTCTCTGTGCAGGGAACATGTCAAATCTAGTTATTTTGAAATGTAATAAATTATTAACTATTGTTATCCTACTGTGTTGCTAAATGCTAGAACTCATTTCTTCCATCTAATTGTGTCTTTGTATCCATTAACCACTCTCTTTTAATCCCTCCTGCCCTACCCTGTCTCTGGTAACTCATTCTACTCTCTACCTTAGTGAGAGAAATGTTTTTAGCTTTCACATATAAGGGAAAACATTTACATGCAGGATTTGTCTTTTTGTGCCTAACTTATTGGTAACACAATGACCTCCAGTTTCATTCATGTTGCTACAAATTCAGAATTGTCTTATATTTTGTGGTTGAATAGTATTCTATTGTGCATACAAACCAAATTTTCTGTATTCATTCACTGATGAATAAAAGTTGATACTGTATTTTGGCTATTGTGAATAGTGCTGCAGTAAACATGAGGAGATAGATATCACTTCCATATACTAGTTTCCTTTTCTTTGAATAAATGCCCAGTAGTGGGATTGCTGGATTGTATGAAAGTTCTATATTTTGTTTTTTGAGAAACCTGAATACTGTTTTCCATAATGGCTGTACTAATTTATATCGCTGCATCCTTTTCAGCATTTGATATTTTGTGCCTTCCTGATAATAACCATTCCAGCTGGGGGGTGAGGTGATAGCTAGTGGTTTTAATTTGCATTTCTCTGATTATTAATAATATTGAGCATTTTTATATACTTGTTGGCCATTTGTGTGTCTTCCGAGAAATGGCTATGCATATCCTTTGCCCTATTTTTAATGAGATCATTTGGTTTTTTGCTTTTGTATTGTCTGAGATCCATATATATTCTGTATATAATTCCCTTGTCATACAAGTAGTTAGCAAATATTCTATCCCATTCTTCAGGTTGTCCCTTCATTCTATTGATGTTTTCTTTGCTGTACAGAAACTTTTTAATTTAATATAGTCCCATTTGTCTATTTTCATTTTTGTTGTCTGTACTTTTGAAGTCTTATTTATAAAATCTTTCCCTAGACGATGATCTGGAAGGTTTCTCCTATGCTTTCTTTTACTAATTTTATAGTTTTGGATCTTATGCCCAAATTCTTGATTTGTTTTAGCTGACTTTTGTGTATGCCAAGAAATAGAGGTCTAACTTCATTCTTCTGCATGTGGATATACATTTTCTCAGCACCATTTATTGAAGAGCATGTCCTTTCTCCAATGTAGGTTTTTGTTGATTTTGTCAAAAATCATTTGGCTGTAAATATGTGGATTTACATCTGGTTTTCTCTTCTGTTCCAATGGCCTATGTGCCCATTTTTACATCAAAACTGTGATGTTTGATTACTATAGATTGGTAATATACTTTGAATTCAAGTAGTGTAAGGCTTCCAGCTTTTTTCGTTTTGCTCTGGCTTACTTTGGCTATTCAAGGTCTTTCATGTTCCCACACCAATTTTAGGATTCTTTTTATTACCGTGAAGAATGTCATGGGTATTTTGATAAGGATTACCTTGAATCTGGAGATTGCTGTCAGTAGTATTGTCATTTTAACAATTAATTCTTCTGATCCATGATCATGAGCTGTCCGTTCATTTGTTTGCAACCTCTTCAATATCTTTCATCTGTGTATTCTAGTTTTCACTGTGGAGGTTGTTCACCTTCTTGATTACATGCAATCTTAGGTATTTTAACATTTTGTAGCTACTATAAATTGAAATGATTTCTTGATTATTTTTTTCAGCAAGTATATATTGGTGTAAAGAACCACCACTAATTTTTGTATATTGATGTTTTATTCTGTAATTTTACCGAATTTGTTTTTGAGTTCTAAAATTTTTTCTGGGAGTCCTTAGGTTTTCTATATATATGATAATGCCAACTGCAAAGAGGGACAATTTGACCTTCTCTTTTCCATTTTGGATGTTTTTTTTTTCTTTTTCTTGTCTGATTGCTCTGGCTGTGATTTCCAGCACTATGCTGAGTAAGAGTGGTGAAATTAGACATCATTGTCTTTTTGCAGATAATGGAGAAAGGGCTTTCAGCTTTTCCCCATTAAGTACAATGTGGGTTTGTCACATATGGCCTTCATTAAGTGTAAGTTTGTTCCTTTTATGCCTAATTTGTTGGGAGTTTTTATCATGAGGGGGATATTGAATTTTATCAAATGTTTTATCTGTTTCTATAGAGATAATCATATTTTTCCTTCATTCTGTTGATGTGATGTATCATATTTATTCATTTGCATATGCTGAACCTTCCTGGCATTCCTGAGATAAATTCCATCTGATCATGGTGTATTATCTTTTTGATGTGTTGTTAGATTAGGTTTTCTAGTGTTTTTTGAGAAACTTTGCATCCATGTTGATTAGGGATATTCCTCTGTAATTTTAATTTTTCTTGTGTCTTTTTCTGGTTTGGGTATCAGTATACTTCTGGATTTACACAATGACAGAAAAGAAATTCCCCTTCTTCAATCATCTGGAATAGTTTGAGATGAATTGGTGTTGGTTATTCTTTACAAGTTTGGCAGAATTCAATCATAAAGCAGTTCAGTCCTGGGCTTTTCTTTTTTAGGAAACTTTTCATACTGACTCAGTATCGTTACTTTTTATTGGTCTATTCAGATTTTCTATTTCTTTGGTTCAATCTTAGGAGGTTGTGTTTATCCACGAATTTATCCACTTTTCTAGACTTGTCAGTTTGTTAGCTTATAGTTGTTCATAGGAGTCTCTGATTATCTTTGTATTTTTGTGATATCAGTTGTAT
Organism: Homo sapiens; assembly: GCF_000001405.40. Taxonomy (NCBI): domain Eukaryota; kingdom Metazoa; phylum Chordata; class Mammalia; order Primates; family Hominidae; genus Homo; species Homo sapiens. Next base: position 162,894,794 of record NC_000003.12, on the reverse strand, counting down.
TATCTCTTTTTTAATTTCTGGTTTTATTCATTTGGGTCTTCACTATTTTTCTTGGCTAGCCTAGCTAGCAGTATACTGATTTTGTTTATCTTTTTGAACAATCAACTTTTCACTTACTTTATATAAATTTTTAGTCTCTATTTTGTTTAATTTTGCTCTGATCCTTATTATATGTATGTTCTTCTACTAATTTTGTGTTTGGTTTGTTCTTATTTTCTAGTTCCTTCAGTTACTTTGTTAGGTTATTCACTGGAATTTTTTCTAGTTTGCACAGTAGGCATTTATTGCTATAAACCTTCCTGTTAGCATTATTTTGGCAGTAGTATATATTTTTGTATAAATGTATAATACACACGTTCAATTTTGTTACATTCTTAGATTATGTAGCAGTGTAGTCAGGGCTTTTAGGGAATCCATCACCCAAATAACATGGGTTGTACCCTATCAGTCACAGGTTTTACTATGTTGTGTTTTCATTTTCAATTGGTTCAAGATTTTTTTTAAATTTCTCTATTATTTTTTCTTATTGACCCATTGGTCATTCAGGAGCATGTTGCTTAATTTCCATGTATTTGTACAGTTTCTATATTACCTCTTGTTATTGATTTCTTCTTTTATTCCATTGTGGTTTAAGAACATACTTGATATAATTTCAATTTTAAAAAATGTGTTGGGACTTGTCTTGTGGCCTAACATATGGTCTATTTTGCAGAATGTTCCATGTGCTGATGAGAAAAATTTTTATTCTGCAGCTATTAGATAAAATGTTCTGTAAATGTCTGTTAGATCAATTTTTTCTACAGTGCAGATTATGTCTGAAGTTTTTTTTTTTTTTGTGGATTTTCTGTCTAGATCATCCATCCAGTGTTGAAAGTACGGTGTTGAATTTCCTAACTTTTTACATATTGGGATCTATTTTTCTCTTTATCTCCAGCACTATTACCTTTATATTTCTGTGTGCTCTGGTCTTTGGTACATATATATTTATAATTGTTATATCTTCTTGCCAATTGATTCTTTTATCATTATATAATGATAAACTAGAGATGATACTGGTAGAATCTGATTGCAACGTTATACCTGGTAAGAAGTACTTTGACAGTTAATATATTTTGAAGTTACTGTCAACAAAATGTCCTTAAAAGTAAATACATATTGTGAAAGAATAAGATAAATTATGGAACTCTGGTTTTTATGTAACAATGTAGAGACATAAAACAAGCATCACTTCCGTCACTACAATAACCAAAAAGAAAACAATAAATAAAACAGAAAATCTGCAAATTCATGACTCCTTGAAGACAGGAGAGAGCTGAGTTAACAGAGCAATAAATTAGTCTGACATCTAAAGAGAGATAAGTAATCTATTAGAAGAGTCAAGAAAAAAGTGTTTGCTCACGTAGAAATACAAAGCCAGATATCAGTTAAAAATTTAGCCACAGAAGTAAAAAATTAATGGAAACTGTATGTGGCAAATAGTTTGGTGATCAAAGATATAGCAACACATTTTAGGTTTTTTCTCCAGAGCTTTCATGCAGTTCTCACAAATCAAATTGGTTCGGATCTTGAGAAAACATTATTCATGTTTGAGGGCTGGAACGGCCACTACAGGGAGGCACAAATCTTTGCCCAGGGCTTTCTCCCCTGTTTTCCTTATTGGGGAAATACCATTAGTTCAAAGGTGAGGGATCAATGAATTCTTTCTCGCTTAGAGCACAGGAAAACTCTGTTGCAGCTGAGGGATAGAAAAAAAAAAAGAAAAAAAAAAGCACCTACCACAGGAACATGTACACATGCAAGATGAGTGGCAGGAATGTTGAGGTCACTCCCTCATGATCTAGCTACATGATGCCTACTCAAGAGAGATGCTTAATCAAAGCATCAAAAAATGCTTCCTCTTCCCACATTCTACCAGCAGACTCACAAGTGTCAAGATACAAATAATAATGGAATTTCTCTAGGAGAGTTTTATAAGAAAGTGTGAAACACCTTTGATACAAAGCACAAAATAGTGTTTCAAGATCCTTAGGGTGTTGCGTTTCCATTTCTAGCCAGAAACCTCTGTGACCAGTAGCGCCATTGCCTGAGTTTTGCCCAGGTCCACTGGGCTCATTTCACCCACTCGGCCTGGCAGGATGCACTTGGCTCATGCTACCAGCCTGGATCCCATGCCTGCCAAGGGCATACCAGGCGTAGAGTCATTAGGAGTGTGTAAACAGGTGAGCATGGGGTCCAGGCATTGTGCATAGTCAGGCACAAGGGCTGCTGCAGAGGGGTGGGCAGCTCCATATGCTGGCACAGATGCTCCTCTCTGCAAGGCTGCTGCCAGACCAGGTGCACCGTAAGCAGTTTTCACCAATGAGGAATGCAGTGGCACCTGGAAGCTTGGAGACTCCAGGAACTGCAGGGCCCCAAAGAGGGAGTTACAGCCCTGGCTTGGGGAATTCCCAGGTCTGGGATCCCCAAGGGGCTGAAGCTCTTCTCTCTACTTCACTGACAACATGGCGAGCAAGGGGTGTGTTTCAGCCCTGTTTGTGTTACAGCTCTTTCAGCCCTGCCATTTGGCAGGTCTGAGTTCTTTTCCTGCACCCCGGAAGAATGAGGTCCACAGACAAGTAGAGGGTGAGCAAGGTAAATAGGAGCTTTGTTGAGTGACAAAATAGCTCAGAGGAGGCCCTGGAGTGGGTAGGTCCACTCTGCAGGCAGGTGGTCAAGTCAAGTGTTGAGCTTTCAGCAGAGAGGAGGCCCTGTAGCAAGTAGCTACTCTCTACAGGCAGGTCTTCCCGTCGTCTCTGTGGCTCTTGGCAGATAAGAGGTCCTGGGTTGGGTAGTTACTCTCTGCTACTGGTCCTCCTGACTTCTGCAGTTCTTAGCAGAGAGGAGGCCCTGAAGTGGGTAGCTCCTCTTTGTAACTGGTTGTCCAGATGTCTGCTCAAATCTGATTGAGCCTGGGGCTTTTATGGGCCTCAGAGAGGAAAAAGTGCATGCTGATTGGTCCATGGGTAGCCATGGACAGGCCCAGAAAAGGCACCACAAGTTCCCACTCCAGTCCTTGGAAGTGGCAGCCCAGCCCCCAGCCTTCAGGCCCTTCCTGGCTTCCTTCCTATGCTCGCTGGCACCCAAAGTCCAGAAGGGGGCTGAAGTGGCAGGGAGCTGGCATCTCAACACTTCCCCAAGAGTTTGCACACTTGGCTGGGCTGTGACAGTGCTCAGGCTTGGCCATGACTTTGCTCCGAGATTGGAGTGGGTGCTGACAGCAGGGAGATGCCAGGCAGTGGGAGCAGGTACTTCCAAGCCTGCAAGGACAGAGGGGGGCCTTCCTGGGCCCCCATGAGTGCAGGGATGCCCTTGGTCTGCAGCCATAGTTTGGGCAGCTGCATCTGTGCCTGCAGTAGGGTACTGGGGCTCCTGTCTGCTCCATGAAGTGAGAGGCCCTGGTCTGCAGCCACAACTTGGGTGGCTGCAGCTGTACAGGGCAGCTCCTGCACCACCAACTCAGAAGGGTCAGGGATCCCACTGTTAACAGCTCCCACTGGCTCTGTGGAGTGTGCAGCTCCAGCCTCATCTCCCCTCTGTGGCTGACATGATGGCAGTGGTCACTCCAGACTGGCTGCCACTGGTATCAGTAGTACACTTGTGCAAGGTACAAAATAGTACAAAACAGAAAATTTGGTACAGAGTACAAAAATAATTCAAAATGGCTGTACCTTTTTGCATTCCTACCAGCAATAAATAAGAGTTTCTGTTGCTCTACATTCTTACCAGCATTTGGTACTGTCAGTGTTCTAGAATTTGGCCACACTAATGTGTGTGAAGTGATTATTGTTGTTTTAATTAGCTTTTCCTTGATATTATAAGACATGGTACATCTTTTCATATGTTTATTTATTCATCTAATTTTTTTAGAGAGATGTCTGTTCAGGATTTTGGCACAGTTTTTAATCTTGTGGTTTGTTTTCTAATTGTAGAGCTTTAACTGGTTTTTTTGTATATTTTGAATAACAAAACTTTATTATACATATCTTTTGCAAATGTATTCTCCCAGTCAGTGTCTTGTCTTTTATTCCCTTTGCAGTGTATTTAACATGACAGCTTTTTTTTAAAATTTAATGTTGTCCAGCTTATCAATTAGTTTTTTATTGGATCATGACTGTGGTACTGTATCAACAGGGTCATTGCCATCTATGTTTTCTCCTATGCTATATTCTAGGAGTTTTATAGTTTTCATGTAGGTCTATAACCTATTTCGAGTTAATTTTGTTAAAGGGGTAAAATCAGGGGTAAAATCTAGTTTTCTTTTATGTGAATGTGCAGTTGTTTAAGCACCATTTGTTGAAAAGACTATCTTTGCTTTATTGCATTGCCTTTGCTCCTTTGTCAAAGATCAATTGACTATATGTATGTGCATCTATTTCCAAGCTCCCTATTTTGTTTGATTAATCTATTTTTCCATTTTTTTCACCAATACTATGCTATCTTTAATACTATAGCTTTACAGTAAGTCCTGAAATTGGGTAATGCCAGCCCTCCAACTTTGTTCTTCAATATTGTGTTGGCTATTCTGAGTCTTTTGTGTCTCTGTGAAACTGTAGAATCAGTTTTTTAATACCCACAAATTTTTATTAAGATTGCATTGAGTCTTTAGTTCACATTGGGAAGAAATGACATATTGACAATATTGAGTCTTCTGATCCATTAAAATTAAATATCTCTTCATTTAGTTAGTTCTTTTAGAACTTCTTTCATCAACGTTTTGTAGTTTTCCTCACATAGAGTTTGTACATATTTGTTAGATTTATGCATGAGTATTTCTTTTTGGTGAGGGATAATGGGTGCTTTCTTTATGGAAGGTTATTATTGACTGATACAATCTTTAAAATACATATAGAAATAGTGAATAATCTAGTTCTCCTGTGTGAGTTTTGGTATTTCATGCCTTCCAAATAAATTAGTCCACTGCATCTAAGTTATTTGATTTGAGGGCATAGATGTGTTTGGGGTAGTTCTTTATTATTATAATAATGTTTATGGAGTTACCAGTAATGACCTATCTTTTACTTATGCTATAGATATTGATATTTTGTGACTTTTTTATTTGCCTTGGTAGAGTTTCATCTGCTTTTATTCAAAAACCAGCTTTTCACTATCTTTACCTGTTTTCAAATTATGATTTCTTCTATTTCATGATATCTTTTCTTTTGCTTTCCTAAGGCTTAAATTGATTGTTTGTCCTTGGTTTGTAAAGGTGAAAGCTTAGATCATTTGTGGTCAGGAGTTCTAGACCAGCCTGGTCGCGCCAGCTTTACTAAAAATACCAAAAATTAGCCTGATGTGATGGCATGCACCTGTAATCCCAGCTACTCTGGAGGCTGTGGTTTAAGAATTGCCTGTAACTGGGAGGTGGAGGTTGCAGTGAGCTGAGATCGTGCCACTCCAGCCTGGGCAACAGAGCAACACCCAGTATTTCGGGAGATCAAGCTGAAAGGATCACTTGATCCCAGGACTTCGAGACCAGCCTGGACAACATAGTGAGACCCTTGCCTCTATAAAGAAATTAAAAATGAGTCAGGCTTTGTGGCAGCATGCCTGTGGTCCCAGCTACTCAGAAGGATGAAGTGAGAGGATCCCTTGAGCCCAGGAGGCCAAGGCTGCAGTGACCTGCTTTTGTGCCACTGGACTCTAGCCTGGGTGATAGGGCAAGACCTCATCTCAAAAACAACCAAATGAACAACAACAACAAAAAATGAAACTGGCACATGTACTCCTGAACTTTAAATAAATTAAAATAATAAAAATAAAAATAAATAAAATTTTAATGTATATGCCAATAACAGCGCAGAGGAGGTAGGTGGAAGAAAAATCATACTGGGCTAAGAAAATGTTTCCAGACAATAACTTGTATCCGCAACAAGAAAAAAACTCAAAAATAAGAAGCTTAACAAAAGAAACCTGTTAATGTATAATTGCTCTGCTTTCTTCTTTCAGCTTATTTAAAACGAGTAAAACCATATAAACAAAAAACTAAAATGAGCAGAGAATATTGACAATTCAGATACCTTTTTTATATAAAAAACCAAGTGTCAAATTTCAATGATTTGCTATATTCCCAGAAATACCAACAAAAGTAAGTCTATTCTACAATGTTTGAATGAAAAAGTTTAACAGAATTGCTATTTTTGAAATAGGGTCTGCTTTTCAGTAGTTAAATATCATAGTTAAATATTATAAGATAACATTTTATTTTGCACCCTTTCCGTTGTGTTAATCCATAAATTGAAGTAAGCATAGGGAAAGATATGCTATTGGAGAAAGCCTAAAAGGGCAGAAAAAATAACAAAAAGAAAATCTTGTTCAGTTCCTCACCCAGTTGAGTGGTCGGTGGGGGGAATGGGAGATAGAAGAGGAAAAAGCAGGTGATCAGAATTAAGTTTTGATCTTCTTTCTCTAAATCAAAGTTATCCACATAAACCCCAAGAGAGGATGAATTCCTTCCTTCTAGAAGGCACTTTAGAATGGGGAGTATTTTATTACTGTGTTATTCCTTTTGTTCAGCTCCATACTCTCAGGTCATAAATTGACTTTCACAAGAATCCTTGGAGCTCAAGAATTCATTGGTTAAATCAGCAACTCTCAACAGTATATCTATGATTGCTTTTCAGTTACTTCTAAGGTGATTATGCAAAGCTTTACGTTCAAGAAGTCCCATACAATGTGCTTTATTCAATGGGAAAATGGTAAATTCCAAAAGTGAAAATTGAGGTATCATTTGCAGGAGCGGCATTAATGCATGATCAATAGACAAAAAAAAAAAACTGTTTATAAAATTTTATTTAAATTGTAATTGTTTGCCTTTTCCATTTTGGGGTTAGATTGCCTAAAACAAGATGCTGATAAATCCAAGTTAGAATCATCAGATGAGCCACATAATTTATTATCCTATATGATCATGGGCAACAATATCTTTTGTTATCCAATTGCCAATGATAATAAAATAGAGAAAGGCCACTGTTGCTTACTTGAATGCATTACAATTGCATTGTATTTTATATCCTTCTATAGACTCTATATCAATATTTATAAATTCTGCTTTTGTCGATTAGAAAATTTACCTAGCTCTCTTTACAGAGTTCTTCTAAGCCTTTGCTATTTCCTTAATATTGCATTTTTCTATACCTAGCTTTTTTCACTTTCCAGTTAAACACATCTTTAATTTCTTGATACTGTAGATCTATTCCATTACACACACTTAGCTACAGTAAATGGCCACTTAGCCTGTCTTCTCAAAGTTTTAGAGTGCTTAATTTAATTTATATAGTTTATACAGTTCAATATAACTTATGAAGTAGGAGTATTTTAAAAAATAATTCTCCTTTCATTTCATGTTATTAGGAATTTTGGGGATAACATGGAAAAATATTTCATGTCCATTTTTTCTCTGGTCTGGCATATCTCCTTCACCCCATGCCTATTACCCCCAGCTATGAACAGCAAAGAATAAGCCAGTGTGGATCATTGCCTTAGGGAAAGAGACAGCCCCAGGACACACTGCTGGACTAAGACAGGTTCCACATACGAACACTCTGGGAGGTTTGTTATCTGTTTTGAAAATCAGCAATTATATTAATTCACATAAACTTTGTATGTTCATATGTATTTATATTAAATGTGGGAATACTTGCTTATTATAAAACTTGATTAATTTATATATTTTTCTCATAACTCACTTTATTTTTAACGTGTTGTAATAGTTGTTTGCAAAACAATTGTTTGGTTAAGAATTCAGCCTAAAGCATGGACAAACTTTAAACCTTAATTTGTGTGTTGTATATGGTTCTTTCTGATATGCTGCAAATTAGCCAGCTAGTATAAATGTAGCATTTGTCAATTAATCTAGACCTAGCTTACTTATTGAAAACATTTTTATTTATTTATTGAGACAGAGTCTCACTCTGTCACCCAGTCTGGAGTGCAGTGGCGTGATCTCAGCTCACTGCAACTTCCACCTCCCAGGTTCAAGCGATTCTTGTACCTCAGCCTCCCAAGTAGCTGGAATTACAGGCATGCATCACACCTGGCCAATTTTTGTATTTTTAGTAGAGACAGGTTTCACTATGTTGGCCAGGCTGGTCTGCAACTTCTGACCTCAAGTGATCCACCCACCTCAGCCTCCAAAAGTGCTGGGATTTTAGGTGTGAGCCACTCTGCCCAACTAAGAAAATATTTTAAAAGAAGATTATAAAATAATGATTTACTGTAAAGTATTGCTATATAATCTCTTTTACATAACTTACTGGAAAATCCAGTATATCTACATGACTCCTATTTTCTCAGAAACAAGTGCAGTAGTGCATAATGAAAGGTCAGAAAGTTCTTAATCTGGTTCAAAATTTCCCTCAGCAGTGAATCACTTTTATTCCTGGCATTGGTATTTCTGCCAATACAACCAAACAAATGAATATTTTATACTATATGTTATAAAATCGTGTTCATGTATTCATCTTCATGGATTAGCATAATTGAAAGGGTGCAGAATAAAATATCACGTAGTGAACATAATACATATTTTTTACTAATAATATGTGTATGTATCTTATAATTATTGTTTTTAATAGAGCAATGTATTATATTATTTACCTTGATTATGAGAAATATGAAAGATCACTTCTTAAATAGAAATCAGGAAATGTGTTTTTTTCATAGATAACAAATATTGTACCATATAGTCACTACTCTAGATGACAGCTTTCAGTACATTTAAACCATGTATTTATCGCTCAGTGCAATGGCTCAGCCCTGTAATCTCAGCACCCTGTGAAACCGAGGTGGGAGGATCATTTGAGCCCAGGAATTCAAGACCAGGCTGAACAACAAAAGGAGACTGTCTCTCAAAAAATAAAACAATTAGCTGGGCCTGGTGGTGCACACCTATAGTCCCACCTACTTGGGAGGCTGAGGTGAGAGGATCCCTTAAGTTCAGAAGTTCAAGCCTGCAGCAAGCTATGATTGCACCACTGCACTGCAGCTTAGGCAACAGAGTGAGACCCTGTATCTAAATAAATAAGTATAAATATGTCTATATATAATTTATATATATATATAATGCACATATATAGATATAACTAGAGTTATATGAAATAATACAAAAAGTAAAATATTTTTAAAATAAATAGTTCTTTTTTATTAGGTATTTCTAGTCATTTGACCTCTTTAATTCCCTCTTACAAAGATGTTTTCATGGACAGTAATCACATTTATTCAATGTGGTTTATTCACAATGAACTTATTTAAATATTACCTTGTTAGAAATCTATACAGATATTTATATTGCATGTTCTAATATTAAAAAGGTAAATCACTGATATAATGAATTGTAATCTCTAGAGTTGAGATTTCACTAGCTTTTTTTTTCCATTAAAAATTGTGTCATTCTCAGTTTGCATTCTATTCTAAGGCCCAGAGCAGTGTTTCTTCAATTTTGATGCTCTAAAATCTAGTCTAATTACCACTGGAAACGTCACATTGTCTATTTTTTAAATTCTTTATTATTTCTATATCTGTATATTTACCTATACACCACCACAATTTGCCCTCTCCTTTACGCAGATGTGCCTACAAAAACAATTATAATTCTAGACATTTTAAAAAGATACTATTTTACTAGTTCAGAAAATATCACTGAGATACATCACTTTTTATATTTTAATGAAAATCTTAAAAAAATAAACAAAATTGATACTCTTTATGTCACTAAAGCGGGTTTTATTTTATTTTTAGCACATTATATACCATTCATAAGAAGATGAAAAAGAATAAAAGGCAAGGAAATAAGCATCTATAATATTGTTATTCTCAACTACATTTACTTTGAGGAACTATAACAGAAAGATTGTAATTTTAATTTAAATTGCATCATTTTACATATTAGATACATATATACTAATATGTCTCTATGAATATATCTCTAAATATATTTGTATTCAGAGACAGAACCAGAAAGGGGAATATAGTCGAAGTGTAAAAAATATATATGTTTGTTTAGATACAGACCCACACACTTTTTTCCCTGTCTCAACATTCCTTGCAGAGACTAGTGAGCTTTGAGAGGTTCTGGGGTCAGATGCCTGTGTATTCATTTACAGAGACGATAATGATGCTCCTGACAGCACTGAGATACTGCCCGCTGTATGACAACAGGCTTGAAAGGGCATCACTGAAGGTGTTAATAATGAGGACCAGCAGGAGGACATATTTCAGACTGAGAAGCTGGGAGAGTATTATCAGTCTGATGGAACAGGCTGAGCTCTGGATCTGTGTGGATGTCACTCTTCTTTTATTGAAAATCCTGCATGAAATTGGTACCTCATATTCTAGGATGGGCTTTTTGCAGCAGCTAAAGAGATTGCAAAATATTCTTCATGCAAGAGCAAGTCTGGAGAATGATAAATCCACAAGTAAAAGTATAATTTTAAAAAGCAAGAGACTTGAGGAATTATCTGGAGATTTTAATTCTATCATAAAACTAAGATAGCAAATGATGCTACATTTTAGTGTATATTTATTTGACACAAAAATTAAATATTAACTTTCTTGGCCTACCGTCAACCCTTCTAAAATATATGTGATAGAGGGTCATTGTTATGCTTTAATTAGCAAGTTTATCAGTTCTACTAAGAATGTTTTCCCCAGGTAAAATTTGCAGTGGAGTCCTGGGTTTCACAAAAGAATTATTTAGAAAGATTTTGGGACTAGATTTAGGTTCCAAAACTCCCTTGATCTAGGCGCCAACACAGATGCTGTGATATGTAATAATGTATCACTGAAGAGCAAGTTTGTAGACTGCAAGGGTGTATCCTAAACTCATAATTAGATTTTTAGGGGGAAAAAAGGTAGAGAAGAACCAGATAGGAAAATGAGGCTGGCTTTATTGTGCTGGTTTGCACCAAGGATGTAATTGTACGTGATTCTGATTATGTCCCTTCAAGGTACACCCTTCTTTGAAATGGGAATGTAACTAGTCCTAGGTTGCTCTACAGGAACATGCTCTGATATGATACCCAGGAGAAAATCTATCAGGCTCACATAGGGCTCTCTAATTTGTACCAGTATAGTATCAGGTGTTAGACCTTAAACAGGTTGTGATTTTGGGAGCATCCACTTCGTAATTAACCACTGTGATCATCAATACAAGAAAACAGATTATGTATTATGATCATTATACATTTTCATTAAGTTCAGATTCCTTACAAATTAAATCAATTTTATATAAAAATTATGATGAAATCCAATTAGTTTACATTCTGATACTTTCAGTTTCTGTTTGGATTGTCCCTTCAAGTCTACCTTTATTGGGAAAAACAAAACACAACAAAAATTATAAAGGAAACAAGACTGTGAAAAGAGTGACTGGAGCATTGAAAAAATCCTGCAAAGAATGGGAAATGGAAGAATTTTGCAGTCCAAGAGGAAAGTGACCCACAGTGGCTAAAAACCTATCCCTGTAAGTGACAGATCAAAGTTGACCCTTTTCAGAACATTGAGGATGCTGCTTCCATGGACTGAAAACCTCATTAAAGAATTGATTTCATTTTTGGTCTCCACTTCCTTACTTCCCAGTTATTTTTAACTCACTCTAGCTGGCTTCAGTTCCAGTCACAGCTTTTAAATACCAAGGTCTCCAATAATCTGTATGCTTTTAATTCCAATAGATACAGTTTGTTCTTTTTTGTTAGCCTTTTTAAAGCAATATTTGACATATTTGATCATTTCTTCCTTCAAAATTCTCTTCCCCCACTAACCCCTCATGTTACTACAGGCTCCTGTATTTGGTTATTTTTACAGCTATTCTTTCTTAATATTTTTTATTGTTCCTTTTGTTTGTCTACTTCTTAAGTATTAAAATTACTCAAGGATTTTATGGATCAACTTCTCTTTTAATTTTAATCAATCTTCCTGCACCTCTTCACCTGAGTTATTATATATTCTGATGTGAAATGCTTTTTTCTCTAGACTTCTGGCATTGATCAATTTTCCTAGCACCATGCTGACCATTTCTTCTGCTATTCTTACAGGTTTCTCCTCTTTTCTACTTATACGTCTCAGTGTTAAATTCTCAGGAATCTCTTTTGGACTCTAACAGTGTCTCTTTAATCTTCCTAAGTAATATTATTTATGTGGATGCTCCACAAGATTATATTTCTAATTTATCCCTCTCCCGGAGCTCTGGAATTGTTTATCCAACTGCCTTAGAAATTTCTGCTGAATTGTTTTAAAAGTATTTTAAGAACACATGTCAACCATAAAGTTTTTGATACTCGCAAATCTTATAATTTCTTTGTCTTTCTCATTGTAAAATATGGCACTACCATCCTCCCAATTGCTCGTCAGAAAATAACTTTATAAAATCCTATTTCTCCCAGAAAAATATCTTAGTTTGTCTGCTTGGTTTAAAATCAGTTCAATATTTTAGCCCAACCTTCTCTGCTGTGTGTGTGTATTTTTCCTATATTATATTGGACTGTGTTATCTGAATGTATTAATCCATTCTCAGACTACCATAAAGATACATCTGAGGTTGGGCACAGTGGCTCACTCCAATAATCTCAGCACTTTGGGAGGATGAGGCAGGCAGATCCCCTGTGGTCAGGAATTCAAAACCAGCTTGGCCCACATGGTGATACCCCATCTCTACTAAAATACAAAAATTAGCCGGGCATGGTCACTTGTGCCTGTAATCCCAGCTACTTGGGAGGCTGAGGCAGGAGAATTCCTTGAGCCTGGGAGGTGGAGGCTGCAGTGAGCCAAGATCATGCCACTGCACTGAGTGACAGAGTGAGACTCTGCCAAAAAAAAAAAAAAGATATATCTGGGACTGAGTAATTTGTAAAGAAAAGAGGGTTAGTCAGTTCATGATTCATGGTTCTGTAGTGGTCTATACAGGCTCCTGCTTCTGGGAAGGCCTTGGGAAACTTACAATCATGGTGGAATGGGAGGGGAAGCAGGCACATATTCACATAGCCAGCAGGAGAGACAGCAAGCAAAGGGGGAAGTGTTACACACTTTCAAACAACCACGTCTCATGAGAACTGTATCACTAGAACAGAAAGAGGAAAGTTCACCCCCAAGATTCAGTCACCTCCCACCAGGCCCCTCCTCCAACACTAGAAATTATAATTTTATGTGAGAGTTGGGTGGGGACAGAGAGCCAAACCATATCACTGAGGAAGTTAAATGAGTTTGCTTTCCTTAAAATGAGAATTATAAAGCCTAACACATTCCCCTGATAAATAGATTACATATGCAAACAATTAAGAGTGTACATATATTTTATAGTTCATTTTTTTCTGTTTTTCTATTTATTGTGCATTGTGCAACATGTACATGTCACCTTCTTATAGAGGAAATGCCTGACATTTTCCCGTGCCCCTTCTCTATCTCACTACTCTCTGGTGCTATCTTATTGCACATATTTATCAATAGATTGGGTAAATGTCTCCTCACATTTAATATTTGTGACAGCAGGAACTCTTTTTGTTCTTTTAAACACTGTACCCAAGTTCTTAAAAGTTTTATCTAAAGTAATCAATAAGTAGTGGATGAATGAATAAATTAATGAACATACTCTTAAGCAGAATATTCTATGAAAATATAACTACAATATCTGTTTATGAAATAAAAGAGTGCAAAACATAGTCAAATTATTCATTCACAACTTATGGTCATCTATGCAAGTCACTCGGTTATCCCTAGTTTGTATATCTTTCCTCCTTTTGTGCCCAAGTGAGATAGAGTGCCCTTGCTTCAATAAAGGACTTTCTAATATAACACATATGATGTTTTATAACCTTTCTAAATTTTCTTAAAGCATGGCTGTTGATGTTGTTTTGAAATAATGGTTGATTTACATTGATGCCATCTCTTACTAGATTACTATTTCACTTAATAGTAAGCATTTTTCAAGAACTATTGTGAGTTAAGAATCTGTCATAAATTTACAGTGTTAAGACATGCAAATATTTTCTTAAACTACATTTTTGTGAATAACCAGAAATATCTCAAATACAAGCCTACCAAATTATATCTTACTACTCTTTTTTTCTTTTTTCCTGAACAGTAAAGACTAACTCTTCAGTTTTATTTCATGGTAGAATGCTATGTCTTTAAAAACAGCCTGTATTGAGGATATTGCAAAATTCTACATGTCATTGAATGTAGCCCCTCTTTCTCTCATTTCTTTCACATGGGATTAAATGAAATCTTATGAGGTCTCACCTTGTGGGTATAGCAGCACAAAAAAGCTAGTCATATAGCTAGAGAGAGATTTTTGGTAAACTGGGATTAATGGCAGGGCTTTAAGACCAAAACTCATGCCCTGACTATGAATGAATCTCTGCTTTGGATATTTCCCACAACTAGACACAGTCATGCATTACTTAACAACAGAAGAAGATTCTGAAAATTGTATTATTAGGCAATTTTCTCATTGTGCACACATCACAGAATATACTTAACATAAACCTAAATGGTATAGCCTATTATAAATCTAGGCTATATGATATAGCCTATGGCTCCTAGGTTATCATTCTGTACAGCATGTTACCATATTGAATATTATAAATAATTACAACACAATGGTAAGTATCTGCGTATCTAAAAACACCTAAATATAGAAAAAATCCAGTAAAAATACAGTATTATAATCTTATGGGACCACCATCTTATATGCAGTGTGTCATTGACTGAAATATTTTTATGTCTTGCATGATTTTATCCATAAATGCATTTTTGATTTTGCATTTGTCACTGTTCCTCTCACGTTTAGTTCCCTAGAGAAATTTAGAATAGATATGGCTAGACAAAGGATTCAGTAATATCTGTTTTGTTAAATAAAATTTTATAATATCAATACATCATCCTGTATTCAAATACATATTGTGTGTCTCTGTATGACAAAATTACTAGTCTTGCATTAGTGTTAGATCAAACTTTAAGCCCCCTTTCATTCTTGAAACACTCTTAAAATCCTAGTCCAAACAACATGTTTCAACTATGCTTTATAGTAAACAAAGATCAAACATTTAAATAAAAATACTTTAAAGTATGAAAGGAATATATATTTTAATAGAAATATTGACAAGAAAAGAAAACATACACAAGGTGATGAAAATAATCCACATTAAAACGACCAACAGCAAACAACTGTGCAAAATTTATTCTTTTTATTTATATGTTTTTGTGCTATTAGAAAAATAAATATTATTTTTTATTTTAAGGTTCCAGGATTCAATTATCTAAACAATAGGCTTCTGAGGGGATATAAATGCCTCAAAGTTGTAATTTGTGTAACTAGTCTTTATGTGCACTGGCAGTGTCTGGTGTCTTTGAAGTGGTCAAGGCTTAATTACTCAGAGAGATGGTTTATCTCAATTTACTATTTTCAGCAATTGAAAGAAGCAGAAGACAACCTTTAAATTAAGCAGAACTTTCAGAGGACTGTTGTGCCCAGTTTTATCCCAATACGCACATGTTCTATGTGGGATTTGTATTCCTAGCTCCAAAACTCCCAGATCCAGTGTCTATAAGTCTCTAGCCTCAATATTACACAAAATCACTATTTCTCTAGCTTCTGGTAAAACTTTAGGAATTTAATCTGAGTTCTTCCAGATTTTACAGGGCATTAAAAACTTAAAATGTTCAGCTATTAAGCCACTTTCACTGAATATTTTCATGTTTTGAGTACTTTTATCTTGGTTTAAAATTTAAAGCTGATCTTCTAAAGCCATTGCACCAATGCCATTGCTTTCTGCACATACACACTTTCACCCTGACACAACAAGGAAACACACTATTAGTACTTCCTGCATATTTTCAAATGCCTCAGAATGGTAACAAAATGCCATAATCAAGATTCAAATATCTGCTATCCAAACAAAGGAATTTCATTTCTGTAAAACATCAGAAATTCTACTGTTTTGTTATTTCCCCCATGGTCTTGGTGATCTTTGCAAACTGTGAGCGCCTAACTTCTGTGATATTTTCCAATGAGGAAAACAAAGGTGGCCTTTTTTTCCAGAACATTGATAACTTTGGGCATTACTTGTTCCTTCATTTTATAGAAGAGCTGTTTATTTTTGTTTGTTTTAAAATGCGATTTTAGAGAAAATTTAAAAAGCATATTCCTTACCCCTCTTTTCTTTAGAATTTATTGGGAATCACAAATTTAATACTATCAGAAACCTATAAGGAGACCTTTCCTCATTCTTGTACATATATCTGCTGAACACTCTATGTCCACTAGGATTGGGCAAAGTCATATATAACAATGTTTCAGAATTCCTCTTATCATAGTTTGCTGATAATTCTCCATCCACTAAAAATTATGAAATATGACATTTATGTTTATGCATAAATTCTCCATCAGGGTCACACCCATTGTCTCAAAAATAACCATTTCCAATTATTAGTGTTATAATTTAGTTTCTTATTAAAAATTTACTGCACTGTAATTGTAACCCATTTGATGATGAAGCTTCCATAATTAGAAAATAAGAATTTTACACCATAACTTATGAATATACATACTGCATTCCTTTCACTTTTTGAAATAGAATTTAAATCATCCCACCAAGATGGTAGAAATTCAGTCTCAGTCTTAAAGAGAACCTTCTCCCAGACTATCAGGAAGAGGTGATACTTACAAGGGTCTCATGCCATGTAGTAACATATGAGGAAAGCCCGTGTGTCATCGGTCTACATCAGATACCTCTGGTGTGCCCATTTTCCAAATATTCAGTCTTCCTTAATGTCAGGTGGCTCCCCTGCTTTTGGGTCATATTGTGTGCCAGGGATTTTGTCAAGTATCTCTGCTTGAGACTTCTTTAATGTACCAAAGCTGGTCTTCCACATATACTCTGGCTAGTGCAAGGAAGTAGGTCATGGGTCTGTTGTCATTTTGATTTCCCAGTCTTTAAAAGATTTATAAAAACTTCACCTAAGTCCACTTCTATATCTCGAACTTGGCATTCTCCTTCTTTTTAATTCCTCCATCTGAAAGGATTATCTTTTTATTTTCTTCATACATATTAAATGTCCTTTAAATTAAAGGCAGTACTGTATTGTAATAACATTATTTTTTTCCTTTGCTCTATTTGATTATGTCTGTATACATATATAATATCTCAATGATTACCTATGTCTCTTTTTGTGTTTAGGCAGATCTTGAATTAAAATTTTGGTTCCAACATTTACTTGCAAATTAGTTAATGTCATAGTTTCACTTTTATCTCAGCTATAATATTAGAATCATCATGTTGTGATTATGAGCATTGCATAGATAATATGTGTAAATTATATATCCCAGTATAGGACACACCATAAAAACTTAATACTTATGAACAATTACTGTAGTCATTATCACTAACGTTGACACCAAATGAAATAAATGTATATTATACATGAAAACTTTCTCACTTTTCATTATAATTTACAGCCTCATTTTTATATTTATTTCTCTGTATCTTACATGTCTAGGGTCCTATCACGGTTACATTATTCCTAAAATCATTGAGAACTTATTAAGCAATCATTAAATATTTATTGCTTTAATGACTAGCTATAGGCTTTTAAGAGGAGAAATCTGGATGGGGATTGAGGGTAGAGGTATTTTTCTTTAACTTAAACTTCAGTCTGAGTTATGACAGAACCTGAAGCAAAAACATATATGTTCATATCTATCATCTTGGAATGAATAAGGAAACATACCTATTACTGATTATCAGAACACAGCTGACTTTTCTAAATTATTCTGCCACTGTGATGAACACTTTACAAAACTGACACAGCATCAAATCAGAAAATGTCCAATTTGACATTCATAGGAAAATTTACTCTGACATTGTTTATTTGGAATCTCGGCATATAACTTTTATGATTCAGGCTTCATTTACACTCAAATACTGGGGAATGAATATGTAATTCTTGCAGTATGTCATCCTCTGGTTACACTACTCTGTTTCCATAATCAAGCTGTGACTACTCACAAATACGAAAATACTTTAAAAGTGTAGAATATATTTTAAATAAAAAATAATAATGTTAGTAATAATTTATGAAGCAAAGTAGATTTTCATGTTTTAGGATCAACTGTTGGCATGGGATAGCCTGATCCTGGGCAGAGCTGCACTGTTCACCAGTGAGGTTATGGGGTGTGGTATCCAGATGACACCATTTTGCTCTTTCTCAAAGGAAGCAATTTTGACATTAATGTAATAAAAAATAAAAATATTGATCAAGGGTAAAAGGGACATCAAGGACAGAAACCACCTTGTTCTTGGCACTTAAAGATGACAAAAAGTTTATTCCCTCAGAATGTGACAAATTATCTTTTTCTTGGCAAACTGATAAGATGTTTTACCTGCTGTCCTATACCATGCTTTAATTTTTTTTTACTTTTATTTCTTACAAAACTCCAATTATCATAGCATATTTTTAAAATCTAAATTTTAAAGAGTTTCAATTGTGAATGAGAGTGTTTGGCAATATTTTAATCAAAACAAGTGACATTTAAAAAAAATGGGTCACAGGATTATCAATTGATACAAAGAATACTTTCCTTAAAAAATTAGTACTTGGTAATTTTTCCTAGAATGAGGTTTTAAATAAGTACATGCCTATAGATACTTTCTCAATAAACTTTTATCAATTTCTATAAAGACAAAATAGTGTGTATAGCACTTGCACATGTACAAAAATAAGTTAAATAATATCTAAAATTCTGGTAATTTAAGCTACCATTTGTATAGAAATAATTTGTGCAAGTGTTTTGTACAATGTGAAATTATAAAATTAAGAAAACTTTTTTCCTCCATAAAGCTATTCACTGTTTTTTTAGACATTATTACCTTTCAAATAATATACCACCTACAAGTTCACATAATGCAGAAAATCTGGTGACTTCAGATTATACTATTAGCATGTATCTTCTCATGTATAATTTATTATTCTGAAAGTTTAACTTTTTATTTTCTTTCTTTCTTGGACTGTAGGCATAGTGTTCAATTTCAGCTAAGCCTTTCATCTTCCTTCCATCTAGATTGTGAAGGTCGAATTGAATATAATATTCCTTATAAAATCAAAACCAAGGTCAGCCTTTGAATTTTATGATCAAAATTTCCCACAGGAGAGAAGGCTAAGACCTGGGAATCAATCCAGCAACTGAAACTAACATGAGCTAATTACTGAACACTTTCTTCTGAAGGTTCTGTTTTAAAAAATAAAATAAATCCCCAGATTCAAATTTTACAGCTTTAAATACAAGACAAAAATAGAAACAACAAAATGATAGTTATTTCTTTATTGTAAGATGTGATAGTTCAATATACGAAGTTTTGTATCAAAATGATCACATTGTGTCCAGCAATTTGGCTTCTTTATCTGGATTCAAAGCATTGAAAGCCACTGTACAGCATTGTGACATGACATGTCCTATAAAAATCCTCATTTATGCTTCAGTGTCAGTTTGTCTATGGAAATTCAGAATTGATTTTCTTCTTAATGGATTATTAATTAATGGGTTGAGTAAAGGCAAACCTCATCTTTGAAAATGTCCTTGTAAATGAGAATTAGGGAAAAAAAGACAAAATACTCAAGTTTGGCTTGTAAATGTATACTCCACCTTTCTTGTACTCATTTCTTTTATTGTGTGTTTTTGAGTTTAAAAAAAAACTTTTAAAGTTATTATTAAAAGAATAATAAGTAATTAATTCTCTTCATATCCAATCCAATCCACTTCCCAGAAATAAGTGCTATTAACAGCTTGTTATATTCATTTCAAATGTTTAAGAAGAGATACACACATCCTCATATTAAGGCTTCGTATACAAGATATTTCAGCATTTGATGAAAAAATGTATACTGTATATATTAAAGTAAATGGAATAACACAGCAGTCCCCAACTTTTTTGGCACCAGAGACCAGTTTCCTGGAAGGCAATTTTTTCTCAGGATGGGGGTGGTGGATGGTTTTGAGATGAAACTGTTCCACCTCAGATCATCAAGCATTAGATAGATTCTTGTAAGGACTGCACAACTTAGATCCCTAGCATGCATAGTTCACAGTAGGGTTTGGGCTCCTATGAGAATCTGATCCTGTTGCTGATCTGACAGGAGGTGAAGCTCAGGTGGTAATGCTTGCTCACCCCCTTATCCCTCTCATCCTGGCTCACATCCATGACTGTGCAGTGTGGTTCTTAACAGGCTAGCCACATACCTCCACAGCCTAGGAGTTGGGGACCCCTGGAATAACACATTGCATAATGTGGGCTTGTTTAATCTTCCTTAGTTTGTCCAAGAGCTAACACATTGTTCTTAATACCTGCCTATTATTTGAAAGCAATATAGGTCGTTTCCTGCTTTTCCTCATTGCTTAGTGTTTGAGATTTCTTAAATAGTTCTTTCACAAAACAGCAAGAGCCATCTTTGGTCACAAATCTTTGCACATATACAAATTTGTTTCTGAAATATTATTTTTGTTCTTCTATTTTGTATCCTAAATCAATGTTTTTCAAGAAAAAATTTAAATCACGAAATATTTGAAGTAAACAAAAAAGTGAAGACAGAAATTTAATAACAGTCTTGTTTTTAACTTTCAAATTTAACAAGTACTAAGATTAAGTCATATTTATAGATCTATTAAAAATTAGTTAGATTTTCCATTGAAATGTATTCTCCTCTCTCTACTAACAAAATCCTGATCCTGAAGGATTTGGGTTTAAATGCTTTGTCAATGCTTGTATATTTCACTACAATTTGTAGTATATATCCATTAAAGATCTTAATTTGAGATTTTAATATTTACATAAACTGCACAATACTCAGAAATATACTCAAAGTATACCTCTGAACTTTCTTTCACACATGTCATCCATGTAAACATGAATAGGTCATGTTCATAAAATTTAAGTGCTATGTAAAATTTAAATTTCAGAATATCTCATATTTTATTTTTCCTTTACTCTATTGATAGTTGCTTAGTATATTTATATTTTTACCACTGGAAATAATTCTTCACTCACTTTTCATGAATATGTTTCCTTAAACTCATACTCAAGAGATATCATTGTATCGACATGACATCAGCATTGTTTTATAATAAAATTCTTTATATTAAATTCTACAAGATAGGAAAATATTCTCAGCATGATAATGCCAACTTATAGTCACACTATTGAGTATGAGAGTTAACACTTCTTCATATTCTTATCAGCAGTTAACATTTCATTTCATGTAAATTTTATAATATTAACTTACACCAATTTTATGCTTATTGCTTGATATTTCTTTAGTTTGTGTTTCTCAGATTACCAGATAAGTTGAATAAATACTCATCTATTGATGACTATTCAGACTCCTTTATCTGCAAAACATATTTATATTTTTCTTACTGATTTGTACAACTTATTAATATATACATGATCATAATCATTTATTTTATGTGATATAGATATCTTCTTATAGTCTAGAATTATCTTTCAAATTATTTGTGTGTTTTATTTCATAAAAGATTTAATGTAGTCAAAATCAATATTCCTACCACCTTTAAAAAAAAAAACAAAACAATCTCACTATGTTTGCACGACTAGAGTGCAGTGGCTATTTATTGGCATGATTATAGCTCACTATAGCCTTAAACCTTAAACTTCTGGGCTTCTGCCTCAGCTTCCCAAGTAACTACTTTTATGAGCTGTCCTTAGTGTTGAGAATTACAGTCAATCACCAACATCCACATAACTTGATTATCAGAATTAATGAACATAACCATGTATGTCAACATGAAATAACTGTTTCAGGGATTTATTGACCGGAAAGCTAAGGCTATAAGCCAATAAATAGCTTTATTGTCAGCAAACAACTTTTGTACCCAGAAAATCTTTTTACTTAAAGACTAAGCTCAGCAAACAACTGACTTACCAAACAATATTCACTTCACGATCACCTTGTAGTATCCATCAGACCTAAATTATTATGTCATCGACTTTGCCTAATTCTAATATTTCTTGTCTTGAAACCTCTTAAACCACTTGAGTACAGACTGAAACAGTATAAATATATTCCCCTGGCCAACCAGCTTCTTACAAGAATATTTAAAACTATGGCAAGATGGTGTTCTCTCTTATTTTATTTTTAAAATTTTTTATTCCACCTTAAATGCTAGGATACATGTGCAGGTTTTTTACATAGGTATACATGTGCCATGTCTTGGCAATGCAGGCTCTTTTTTGGTTCCATATGAACTTTAAAGTAGTTTTTTTTTTTTTTTTTCCAATTCTGTGAAGAAAGTCTTTGGTAGCTTGATGGGGATGGCACTGAATCTATAAATTACCTTGGGCAGTATGGCCATTTTCACGATATTGATTCTTCCTACCCATGAGCATGGAATGTTCTTCCATTTGTTTGTTTCCTCTTTTATTTCGTTGAGCAGTAGTTTGTAGTTCTCCTTGAAGAGGTCCTTCACATCCCTTGTAAGTTGGATTCCTAGGTATTTTATTCTTTTTGTAGCAATTGTGAGTGGGAGTTCACCCATGATTTGGCTCTCTTGTTTGTCTGTTATTGGTGTATAGGAATGCTTGTGATTTTTGCACATTGATTTTGTATCCTGAGACCTTGCTGAATTTGCTTATCAGCTTAGGGAGATTTGGGGCTGAGATGATGGAGTTTTCTAAATATACAGTCATGTCATCTGCAAACAGGAATAATTTGACTTCCTCATTTCCTAATTGAATACACTTCATTTCTTTCTCTTGCCTGATTGCCCTGGCCAGAACTTCCAACCCTATGTTGAAAAGGAATGGTGAGAGAGGGCATCCTTGTCTTGTGCTGGTTTTCAGGCACCCTTGTCTTATGCTGGTTTTCAAAGGGAATACTGCCAGTTTTTGCCCATTCAGTATGACATTGGCTGTGGGTTTGTCATAAATAGCTCTTATTATTTTGAGATACATTCCATCAATTAGTTTATTGAGAGTTTTTAGCATGAAGAGCTATTGAATTTTGTCGAAGGCCATTTCTGCATCTATTGAAATAATCATGTGGTTTTTGTCATTGGTTCTGTTTATGTGATGGATTACATTTATTGATTTGCGTATGTTGAACTAGCCTTGCATCCCAGGGATGAAGCCGACTTGATCCTGATTGATAAGCTTTTTGATGTGCTACTGGATTTGGTTTTCCAGTATTTTATTGAGGATTTTCACATAGATGTTCATCAGAGATATTGGTCTAAAATTCTCTTTTTTTTGTTGTTGTGTCTCTGCTAGGCTTTGGTATCAGGATGATGCTGACTTCATAAAATGAGTTAAGGAGGATTCTCTCTTTTTCTACTGATTGGAATAGTTTTAGAAGGAATGGTACCAGCTCCTCTTTGTACCTCTGGTAGAATTTGGCTGTGAATCCATCTGGTCCTGGACTTTTTTTGGTTGGTAGGCTCTTAATTATTGCCTCAATTTCAGATCCTGTTATTGGTCTATTCAGAGATTCAACTTCTTCCTGGTTTAGTCTTGGGAGGGTGTATGTGTCCAGGAATTTATCCATTTCCTCTAGATTTTCTAGTTTCCTTGCTTAGAGGTGTTTATGGTATTCTCTGATGGCAGTTTGTATTTCTGTGGGATCGGTGGTGATATCCCCTTTATCATTTTTTATTGTGTCTATTTGATTCTTCTCTCTCTTTATTAGTCTTTCTAGTGGCCTATCAATTTGATGTCTCCCAAAAAACAGCTCCTGGATTCATTGATTTTTTGAAGGGTTTTTTGTGTCTCTATTGTCTTCAGTTCTGCTTAGATCTTAGTTATTTCTTGAGTTCTGCCAGTTTTTGAATTTGTTTGCTCTTGTTTCTCTAGTTCTTTGAATTGTGATGTTAGGGTGTTGATTTTAGATTTTTCCTGCTTTCTCTTGTGGGCATTTAGTGCTATAAATTTCCCTCTACACAATGCTTTAAATGTGTCCCAGAGATTCTGGTCCATTGTGTCTTTGTCCTCATTGGTTTCAAAGAACATCTTTATTTCTGCCTTCATTTTGTTATTTATCCAGTAGTCATTCAGGAGCAAGTTGGTCAGTTTCCATGTAGTTGTATGGTTTTGAATGAGTTTCTTAATCCTGAGTTTTAATTTGATTGCACTGTCGTCTGAGAGATAGTTCATTGTGATATCTGTTCTTTTATATTTGCTGAGGAGTGCTTTACTTCCAATTATGTGGTCAATTTTAGAACAAGTGTGATGTGGTGCTGAGAAGAATGTATATTCTGATGATTTGGGGTGAAGAGTTCTGTAGATGTCTATTAGGTCCATTTGGTGCAGAGCTGATTTCAAGTCTTGGATATCCTTGTTAACCTTCTGTCTTGCTGATCTATCTAATATTGACAGTGGGGTTTTAAGGTCTCCCATTATTATTTGTGGGAGTCTAAGTCTCTTTGTAGGTCTCTAAGGACTTGCTTTATAAATCTGGGTGCTCCTATATTGGGTGCATATATATTTAGGATAGTTAGCTCTTCTTGTTGAATTGATCCCTTTACCATTACGTAATGGCCTTCTTTGTCTCTTTTGATCTTTGTTGGTGTAAAGTCTGTTTTATCAGAGACTAGGATTGCAACCCCTGCTTTTTTTGGCTTCCCATTTGCTTGGTAGATCTTCCTCCATCCCTTTATTTTGAGCCTATGTGTGTCTCTGCATGTGAGATGGGTCTCCTGAATACAGCACACAAATGGGTCTTGAATCTTTATCCAATTTGCCAGTCTATGTCTTTTAATTGGGGAATTTAGCCCATTTACATTTAAGGTTAATATTGTTATGTGTGAATTTGATCCTGTCATTATGATGTTAGCTGCTTATTTTGCCCAATAATTGATGCAATTTCTTCCTAGCCTCGATGGTCTTTAAAAACAATTTGGCATGTTTTTGCAGTGGCTGGTACCAGTTGTTCCTTTCCACGTTTAGTGCTTCCTTCAGGAGCTCTTGTAAGGCAGGCCTGGTCCTGGTGGTGACAAAATCTCTCAGCGTTTGCTTGTCTGTAAAGGATTTTATTTCTCCTTCACTTATGAAGCTTAGTTTGACTGGATATGAAATTCTGAGTTGAAATTCTTTTCTTTAAGAATGTTGAATATTGGCCCCCACTCTCTTCTGGCTTGTAGAGTTTCTGCGGAGACATCTGCTGTTAGTCTGATGGGCTTCCCTTTGTGGGTAACCCAACCTTTTTTGGCTGCCCTTAACATTTTTTCCTTCATTTCAACCTTGGTGAATCTAACAATTGTGTCTTGCGGTTGCTTTTCTCGAGGAGTATCTTTGTGGTGTTCTCTGTATTTCCTGAATTTGAATATTGGCCTGCCTTGCTAAGTTGGGGAAGTTCTCCTGGATAATATCCTGAAGAGTGTTTTCCAACTTGGTTCCATTCTCCCCTTGGTTCCATTCTCCCCGTCACTTTCAGGTGCACCAATCAAACACAGATTTGGTCTTTTCAAAGAGTCCCATATTTCTTGGAGGCTTTGTTTATTTCTTTTTACTCTTTTTTCCCTAAACTTGTCTTCTCACTTTATTTCACTAATTTGATCTTGAATCATTGATACCCTTTCTTCCACTTAATCGGCTACTGAAGCTTTTGCATGCGCCATGTAGTTCTCGTGCCATGGTTTTCAGCTCCATGAGGTCATTTAAGGTCTTCTCTACACTGTTTATTCTAGTTAGCCATTTGTCTAACCTTTTTTTCAAGGTTTTTGGCTTCCGTGCAATGGGTTAGAACATGCTCCTTTAGCTTGGAGAAGTTTGTTATTACCAACCTTCTGAAGCCTACTTCTGTCAACTCATCAAAGTCATTCTCCATCCAGCTTTCTTCCATTGCTGGTGAGGAGCTGCAATCCTTTGGAGGAGAAGAGTCACTCTGGTTTTTAGAATTTTCAGCTTTTGCGCTCTGGTTTCTCCCCATGTTTGCAGTTTTATCTACCTTTGGTCTTTGATGTTGGTGAACTAGAGATGGGGTTTTGGTGTGGATGTCCATTTTGTTGATGTTGATGCTATTTCTCACTGTTTGTTAGTTTTCCTTCTCACAATCAGGTCCCTCAGCTGCAGGTCTGTTGGAGTTTGCTGGAGATCCACTCCAGACCCGGTTTGCCTGGGTATCACCAGGAGAGGCTGCAGAACAGCAAATATTGCAGAACAGCAAATATTGCTGCCTGATCCTTCCTCTTGAAGCTTCATCCCAGAGGGGCACCTGCCTGTATGAGGTGTCTGTCTATCCCTACTGGGAGGTGTCTCCCAGTTAGGCCACAAGTGGGTCATGACCCACTTGAGGAGGCAGTCTGTCCATTCTCAGAGCTCAATCACCATGTTGGGAGAGCCACTGCTCTCTTCAGAGCTGTCAGACAGGGACGTTTAAGTCTGCAGAAGATTCTGCTGCCTTTTGTTCAGTTATGCCCTGCCCACAGAGGTGGAGTCTATAGAGGCAGTAGGCCTTGCTGAACTGTGGTGGGTTCTGCCCAGTTTGAGCTTCCCAGCTGCTTTGTTTACCTACTCAAGTCTCATCAATTGTGGACACCCCTCCCCCAACCAGGCTTCAGCCTTGCAGGTCGATCTCAGACTGATGTGCTAGCAGTGAGCAAGGCTCTGTGGTCATGAGACCCACAGAGCCAGGAACTGGAGAGAATCTCTTGGTCTGCCAGTTGCTAAGACCATGGGAAAAGTGCAGTATTTGGGTGGCAGTGTCCTGTTTTTGCAGGCACAGTCACTCACAGCTTCCCTTGGCTAGGAAAGGAAAATCCCCCAACCCCTTGTGCTTTCCTGGTGAGGCGACGCCCCACCATGCTTTGGCTCACCCTCTGTGAGCTGTACCCACTGTCCAACCAGTCCCAATGAGATGAACCAGGTATCTCAGCTGGAAATGCCAAAATCACCTGCCTTCTGCACTGATCACGCTGGGAGCTGCAGACCAGAGCTGTTCCTATTTGGCCATCTTGGAACAGACCTCAGTGTTCTCTCTTATTAAAGGAAGTTTAATAAACTTGGTTTTGCTTGAGTAATGGTTGTTTGTGTGGCTTTCTGGGAGTCCAGGTGAGGACCATCTTAGAAGCCACACAGAGATCTGGTCAACACACTTTCCCTGCTACAGCCTAAAATTCCCAGCTTGGTACTGTGCACTCCATTGAAGGCCTTTTTTAATCTTTCAACCAGAGGTCCCCCTGATAGTGACAATAACATAGTATTGTATTGTGTCTGAACTCTAAATACTTTTTGTCAAGCTCCCAAATATCTTCCTAGGAATAAGCAACACTTTTGGGAATCCTTTGATTATCTAATCATATATAAAAACTCTTATCTTGGGAAAAATCAGCCTTATTAGTAACAACACTCCTATCTGTCCTTGCCACATTTTGCTAAGTCACTAAGAGGAAAGCCATAAGGAAGGTGAGTATGAACATAAAAGCTTCAAGGCCACATCTCAAGCTGGATGTGAAGACTGATTAATTTTGTTTCAACAAAACATTGTTTTTTACACACAAATTTTCTTTGATTTAACTCTCAAAATCTTATGAGGAATTTCCTTTTTGTTTGTTTGTCCCTGACTGTCTGTTCTGGAAGTAGTCTTTAATATAAAATTTCATCTGTTTGAAATTGAAGGTTTATTAGATCTGCAATGGAAGTGACCATACATTAGTATAGGGACCTGAGTCATAAAGTGCACAAGCAACACATCCAAAGGACGATTTGCAGACATGTCTCACAAATCTGCATCATTCTAAATTTAAGTACCGCCTGGTTCAGATTACTGCTTCCTGTGTACAAACTATGACCCTAATTCTTGTGTTCGTCTTTCAATATGGCACAATTTCATGGAGGAAAACTGAGAATCAGCATATTTGAGAAACTTTTTGTATGAGCAAATTGCAGTCTGGGTTACAGAGAGAAACCCTGTCTCAAAAAAAAAAGGGGAAGATAAAGACAGAATGGGAATGTTCTGAGGATGATTTATAAGACTCCAAGTTACATGGAACACTAGAAGGGTTTAGAACAATGTAATACTAAACATCTTTTGAAGGCTTTATCTAAACTTTTTGTTTGTAAAAACAAATTGTATTCTAATTCAGTTCTGCAATTAAAGAAAGGATGAATCCATTGAAAATGTGAGAACTGATATTTTTGCCACCACCAAACAACATTCAAGAGTGTACTCTGAAGAAGATGTGATAACAGCTTTCCCTTCACTTTTTATGACCACCCTTAGAAAGGAATATGTAGATTTAATATGCAAGCCAAAACCGGATTGGTAAATTGACCCATTGCCAAATCTGCATCTCCTCATTGAACATTTTGAAAGAATGTTCAAAGAAAAACCATCATTAAGCGTCTGAGGTGAGCGTGTTTTGATAAACACACCTAGGAGTACCATAAGGAATAAGGTCACTAAAAAGTAATTGCATTGTTTGTGTTGGATAAGAAACATGAAGAAAAGTAGACTAAGTTGGTGATTAATACAGCTGCTACAAAATGATATTGATAATCTTATTTCTCATTTGTTTGGGCTGCCACCCAACCCAACCCCTAGTATGAGTTCTTCCTATAAATTAGCTCATAACGAGTCAACTAGGAATGACTTTTTAGATGACAACACTGCAACAGACCAGACAAGTATCTAATACATCTTCCAGTTTTGGACAAGATGGAGTAGAAGTATTTCTTCCCGTACCTCCCACTAAGTACAGCAAAACACCCTAAGCATTATATATAAAATAAACAAAAGAAGAGGGTTAAAAGCAGAGAAAAGAAGATTGACTAGGAACCCTGGGACTTACGATATCTAAAGTGGTGAGATGAGTTTTCTGGGTTTTATTTTTGTATCCTGTATATCTAAAGCTGATTGCTAAAGGAGCCCCAAAACAAAAGTGTAAAATGACAGTCAACAAAAAGTCACAAGAAAGCCTGTTCCCTCTTGCCAAAGAACCATAAAATTAGCAGCCTAGCCAGACAGAAGACTTCTTTTTTCAAACAATAAACGTCCTACTCCAGCAAAATATGGTTAGAGGAGGGGGAAAACAACACTGTGTATACCATCAGCAAAGACTGAGTGGAGATTTTAGACTTTCACTTTCACCAACAGTAATGAGACATCTCCCTTTTCCCCACTAGGGTGGTGTCTCTAGAACTTGAAAGCCTAGACATTCACACTACCTAGTACTGATTTATATTTTTCTAGAAAATTGCTCAGTTTATTTGTATTTTGCAGTTTGTTTAATATTTTCCAATATTTTCAATTTGATATTTAGTATTATTTACTTATATCTTTTCTGTTTTTCCTCAAGGCATTTGCCAGAAACATTTCTATTAGTAGTCACTTTCTGGAACCAACTGTGATTATTTTGATCTCTATATAATTTATCAAATTTATTCATATCTTCCATTGTACATACTTTCATAATTTTTATATTCACAAATTTTACATTTATTGATTTATTGGGTTGAATTAAGTATTAGGAATATATTTAGTGATAACATTAAAAGTCATTATAATACTCATGCATTAAGCTAAATAAGATTTTTTTTTCTAGTTCTCAAAGTAACAGGAGGAGGTCAGTCCAGGGCAAGTATGAATCCAAGTACTTTTGTTGTATGTTCAATATGCACACATTCTATTCTCAAAATCACTCCAGGATTCAATATAGCTGCTAACATTTTAGCTATTACATTACAACTGCAGGCAGAAGAAAGAAAGGAAAGAGACAAGAAAAAAAATTGAGAACATTACAGAGGATTTGTACAAAAGTGTAAATCTCAGTGGTGATCACTTAGACATATTTATATGCCTAGCTATGGCCATCAAATAAATATTTTAGAATAGAAAAGATACTATTTATTCTGAAGGTCATATTCCAGATATAAATCAGAAGTAAAATTACCATGGAAGAAGGGAAGAAAGAGTATTGCATGCCTTTACATCTTACTGCATATCATTTATGTCTTGTTTAAAAAAAGCTTGTAAATTGATGTCAGTTATTTTCACTATTGTCTGTATTTAAAGTATCGCTCTAAATATTTAAACATTTTAAAATATATATTTGATTAATACATTTTGTTTTTCCATTAATCATTAATTTTATAGCATTCACCTCTCAGAAAACATTTGTTTAATAATGAATATCTTTCATAAAAATTTATATATTTAAATAAAACGACTGTTATATTTTAGAATTGTTTTGTAATTTATAATTTAAATGTTAAAAATTTAATATTATATTGAATATTAACTAATATTAAGATTAAATATTTTTTCAATAATATAGTTTATCAGAAGCCTCTCTCATTTTAGTTTATTAATAAATATAAAATACAAAAAGCTAAAGATCACCCTTGAATTTGATAAACAAGAATTTTTGTTTTATTCTCTAATATCATTTGCAATTAATTTTAAAGTAACACTGACTTGTTCATACAACAGCGTAATATAGAGAAGAAAATATAAGTCATAAGTCTTTTTGTTTTAGTCAAAATGTGGAAATTAACTTATATCTATTTTGTACTATTTCTGATTATTCTGAAATAATGGTGTGCACCACCATGCCCAGCTAATGTTTGTATTTTTGGTAGAGACAGGGTCATTATGTTGCTCATCTCTAAATCTTGGGCTCAAGCAATCCACCTGGTTCAGCTTTCCAAAGTGCTGGGATTACAGGTGAGAGCCACCACACTTGGTTGAAAAAAAATTTTTTGAGCCATTAGGAGAATACTATTTTAAATAAGGTGAATAGTGAATGGTTAATTACTTTTTAAAATTTAAAATATATGCAACAAATATTTACATTTATCTATATTGCCCTTGTTAACAAATAATTAATTCAATAAAAATTCAATTAATTAAAATCAACTGTTTCTCACTGAATTAAATATAAATTCTATACATCCCATGTATTTCTTAACAATGAGAATACATACTGAGAAATGTCTCAAACAATTTCATCATTGTGCAAACATTGTAGAATGTTTACATAAAACTATATTGTGTACTCTACTACATAGCCAGGCTATGATGTTATAGTTTATATCTTCTAGGCTACAAACATGTATAGCATGTTACTGTATTTACTATTGTGGGCAAAATTGTAACACAAATATAGGTATTTGTGTATCTACAGATATCTAAACACAGAAAAGGTAGATTTTAGAAAGTATAATATCGTGAGACCACTGTAGTCTGTGTAGATTGACCCAAATGTGTTTATGTGGCGTATGACTGTAATTTATTTATTTATTTTTTTTTTTGAGACGGAGTTCACTCTTATTGCCCAGGCTGGAGTGCAATGGCACGATCTCGGCTCACTGCAACCTCCGCCTCCCGGGTTCAAGCGCTTCTCCTGCCTCAGCCTCCTGAGTAGCTGGGATTACAGGCATGCGCCACCATGCCCCGCTAATTTTGTATTTTCAGTAGAGACAGGGTTTCTCCATATTGGTCAGGCTAGTCTCAAACTCCCGACCTCAGGTGATCCGCCCGCCTCAGCCTCCCAAAGTGCTGGGATTACAGGCGTGAGCCACCACGCCCTGCTGACTGTAATTTAGTTAATTAATTGTTTCATACACTTTTGTTGGGAGACATTTAATACAATTCTCAATTCATATGTGTGAATACATGTGGATTAAGTGTATATTTGTATTATATAAAATTTTGTGTTTATATGAACAAGAAAAAACAAAATCACAATGTCTATTTGGAGGTAGATTTAAACAATAGGTTATTAGAACTAATTTAAATAAAATACCTAAGATTATAGTACTGATCAATTTTTAAAATAAATGTAATTATGAAGATACACATAAGTTAGCATGAACCAATGTTCCTGATTTTTCTATGAATGAATGAGATGATTATGTTTACTAAAGATTTTTAATCACAGTGATCAAAGTGTTTGTTTACATATTACTCTATCACTTTTTATATAATTTCTACCATTCTGTAGAAAATTCTGTGGCTCTCACATGCTGTCTTGCTCTCTTCCTCTCCCTATATATAAAAAATATATATACACGTGTGTATGTATATGTAATATATACACACATTTACGTATATGTGTGTATATATTATATACACACGTTTACGTATACGTGTGTATATATTATATATACACGTTTATGTATATGTGTATATATACATGTAAGTATCTATCATATATCTATCATATTATAAATATAAATATCTATCATAGATCTACAATATTATTACATGTATTAAATATTATATTTATATGTGTATATACATGTTTTTATATGTGCATATATGTATAACATAAATATTATATTATACATGTATATATTATATATTATATGTACATATATTATATTTATAATTATATATTATCTATGTATTTTATATTATCTATGTATATCTATATATAATGTATGTACATAGATAATATATATCTATAATTTTATATTATATATAATTATATATAATATATAATATATTATACAAGTATATATGCACATATATAAATACATGCATATATATGTATTATGTATTTAAATATATATAAATGAGAGAGGCTTCTGAGAAACCTGAGGAATATATATATGCATATATATAATAGAATATATACATACATATACATATATACACAAATATACACATATATACACATGTATATATGTACATATAAAACATAAATATAATATTCCTATATGTATATATACATAAATGCATTATATATACATATATAAATAACCACATATATAAATTATATATACAACTTTAGTTTCCCAGGAGTCTCACTTATATCTATTTAATAAATATATAAATATATTTTAATATATAATAAACCTATATGGTATATACATATTTATATATGTATTTAAATTTCATATATAAATAATCTTGTGGGAAATGCCTAAGTTCAAGTGTAGTTTAATACTAAAATATGTTTAAAATTACACACATCTTTTAAAATCAAACTGTAACTTGGCATTTTAAATTAATTTTGTAATAATTTTAACTTCAAACATGTAAGACAGACAATTAATTATTCAACTTCAGTAAATAAATTTGTGGTTTGTAGTTGAGTTAAAACCTATGAGTTATACTATATCTGATATAGGTACCTCAATATTAAAATGATTCAGATATTTATTTATTCATATACATTTAAATATATGTCATGTTTGCACTCAAATCCAGTATTTGCACATAAAATAATTAGTTTTATGATCAAGTATTATTTTTTAAATTAAAATATAAGAATATGTGATTATTTTTAATTTAACACTGTATATAAGCTAAGTGCTAATGAAGTTTATCTATTTTCTTTAACTTCAACTTTCATGGGGTTAAACTCTTTAAATAAAATCATAATACCTGTTAATGAAGCAAAGCTAAATGTATTAGAACTAATGTTGTAGGAGAAGAAAACTTTGAGAGTTGTAGCAGTGTCTAAAAAAGGGAAAGTCAGAAACATGATATTTACAGATATTTAAATCGGTAAATTGGATATTTGCATCTTGGTTCAGGTGACTTAAGGTAGATCTTTCCAGATGCAAAACTCATACAGATTGGGACCAACAAAAGTTTATGATATACTAGTTTAGTATTGGTTATGTATAACAAAATATGGGTATTGAAATAAGTCTTGACAAACTATTTTCTCATAAGTGAGCTATTTCATCAGGTGATCAGACTTTGATAAATTTATCTTGTAGGATTTTCCTAAAGCAAATAATGAAGATATTTATTCATACATAATCTTGTCTTTCATGTGTGAAGATTTTCTAGAACAAAAGAAAGCTAGGTTGTATTAACCTATGCAGTATGCAGTCTTATTTAAATTATTTTGACTTATCGTAGTTTGTCTCAGTTCTTAAAATATTTAAGAAGTAGTATATTTTGGATAATGCCTCTCAAAGACATACAGCATGTAAAATAATTTAATTATTTGTTTTTTAAAATAACTTTCTATTTTCCCTATTCTTGCAATATAATATTTTCAACATGTAGTTATATTTAACTATAGTCATCCTACTGGGCTATTAAACACTGCAGCTTTTATCTTCTATCTAACTGTATTTTTATGCTCATTCACCAGCCTTTTTTCACGCACCCCTCTCCATCATCCTTCCCAGCTTCTGGTAACCATAATTCTGATCTCTGTTTCCATGAGATTCACTTTTTTGGCTCTCACATATGAGTGAGAACTTACAATATTTGTCTTTCTGTATTGTCAGAAAGACTTAAGTAATCTGACTTAAATAAATGACTGAAAATGATGAGATTTTTGTTCTTTTATAGCATAATATCCCATTGTATGTGTGTATGTATGATATATACATTGTTATAATGTTATATATGTACATATATACAAATACCATATTTTCTTTATCCATTCATCTGTTGATGAACAGTTAAGTTAAATCATGGCTATTGTGAATAGTGTTGCAATAAACATGGGAGAGCAGATATGTCTGATATCCTTTCTTTTAAATATACACCCAACAGTGGAATTCCTGGATCATATAGTAGATTTATTTTTGTTTTTTCAAGGAACTTCCATATTGTTCTCTATAATGGCTGCACTAATTTACATGCTGTAGATTATACTAGCATTTTCCTTTCTCCATATCCTCACCAGCATCTGTATTTTTGTCTTTTTGGTAATAGCCATTTTCACTGAGGTGAGGTATCTCATTGTGGTTTTGATTTGCATTTGTCTTATAATTTGTAATATTGAAATTTTTTCATATACCTGTTGGCTATTTGCATGTCTTTGTTTGATAAATGTCTATTTAGATCATTTGACCATTTTTAAATTGGATTATTTATTTGCTATAAAGTTAAGTTTCTTATATATTCTGATTATTAATTCCTTCTCAGAAGGCTAGTTTGCAAATATTTTTCTCCCGTTTCCTCAGTTTTGTTTTCATACTGTTGTTTATTTCCTTTGTGTTGTAGAAGTTCTTTAGCTTGATGTAATTCTGTTTGTCTATTTCTGCATTTATTGCCTAAGCTTTTCAGGTTACCAAAAAAACGTTTTAATAGTTTGTCTTACACTTAAGTCTTTAAATACATTTCAATTTAAATTTTGTATATGATGAGAAATAAGGGCCTAGTATTATTCTTCTGCACACAGATATTTAGTTTTCTCAGGACCATTTATTGAAGAGGCTCTCATTTTCTCAATGAATATTCTTGGCATCTTTGTCAATTGACTGTAAATGTGTGGACTTACTTATGGATTCTGCATTTGTTTCATTAGTATATGTATTTGTTTTTATGCCAGTGTCATTCTGGTTTAGTTACTACAGATTTGTAGTATATTTTGAATTCCATTAGTGTGATGCTTAGAGCTTTGGTCTTTTTGCTCAGGATTGCTTTGGATATTTAAGGTGGTTTTTGTTTCCATAGGAATTTAAAAGTTTTTTCTTTTTATATGAAGAATATAGTTGGTGTTTTGATAGAGATTGCATTGAATCTGTAGGTCACTATGGGTAGTATAGAAAGTTTAATAATATTAATTCTTCCAAACTATGAGTGTAAAATAGTTTTCAAATTTTGCATTCTTTACAATTTATTTAATCTGTGTTTTATAGTTGCTATTGCATAAATTTTTCACTTTTTGAATACACATATTCCTAGGTATTTGATATTTTTGTAGCTATCGTAGTGCAGTTGCTTTTTTGATTTCATTTTTAGATTGTTCACTGTTGGTGTATAGAAATGGTACTAATTTTTGTATGTTGATTTTGTATCCTCCAACCTTACTTAATTTGTTTATCAGTTCTAATAGGTTTTGGTGACTTTTCATGTTTATCTATAAGATCATGTCATCTGAGGACAAGGATCATTTGACTTCTTCCTTTCCATTTGAATGCAATTTATTTATTTTTCTTGCCTAATTGCCATGGCCACAACTTCTAGTACTACATTCAATAAAAGTGGAAAAAGTGGAAATACTTGTCTTAGTCCAAAGCTTTAGGGAATAGGCTTTCAATTTTTCCTTGTTCAGTATAATATTCACCATAGGTTTTTTGTATATGGAGTTTATTGTTCTTAGGTATGGCACTTCTATATCCAGTTTTTTTGAGAGTTTTTTTTTAACCATGACTGACATTTTATTATGTGAAATGCTTTTTCAGATCTATTGGAATGATCATATGGTTCTGTACTTGATTCTGTTAGTGTGATCTATCATGTTTATTAATTTGTGTATATTAAATCATTCTTACATTCCTGAAATTAATCCCACTTCATCATGTTGAATGATTTCCTTTAAGGTTACTTAATTCAGCTTGCTGATGTTTTGTTGAGGATTATTGCATCTATTTTTAGTCAGGGATATGGCCTGCAGTTTTCTTTTTAGTTGTGGCCTCATCTAGATTTGTTACCAGAGTAATGCTGGCTTCAATAAATGACTTTGAAGTAGTTCCTCTTCTTCAATCTTTTGGAATAGATTCAGGAAGATTGGCATTAGTTCTTTAAATGTTTGGTAGAAGTCAGTTGTGAAACCATCAGGTTCCAGGCTTTTCTTTGATGAGAAAATTGTTATTACTGCTTCCTGCTAGTTATAGATTATTGGCCTATTCAGGTTTACTATTTCTTCCTGATTCAATCTTGATTCAGGTTGTAGGTGTCCAGGAATTTATCCATTCTTCTACATTCTTCAATTTGTTAGTATATAGTTATTTAAAACAGTCTCTGGTGATTTTTTTGTATTTACGTGTTATCTGTGGTAAAATGTCTACTATTTTGTCTCTGATTTTATTTATTTGTGTCTTCTCATTTTCTTATTTAACTTGGTAAAGATTTGTTGGTTATCTTTTCAAAAAACCTACTTTTTGTGTTGTTGATCTTGTGTATGATTTTTTGTCTCAATTTTATTTATTTCTGTCATGATCTTTATTATTTATTTTCCTTGTAGTTTTTTTTCTCAACTTTCCTATTTAGTTCCTTGAAGTATAACATTAAATTGCTTATTTGCAGTCTTTCTCCTTTTTAGATGTAGGAATTTATTGCCACAAACTCTCCTCTTACAACTGATTTTGCTATAATCCTCTAATTTTTTAAATTATGTTTCCATTTTCGTTGGTCTCAAAAAAATGTTTTTGTTCCCTTTTTAATTACTTCATTGACCCACTCATTATTCAGTGGCACCTTGTTTAATTTCTATGTGTCTGTATAGTTTCCAAAGTTATGTTATTATTAATTTGTTGTTTGATTCTATTGTGGTCAGAAAAGATACTTGGTATAATTTTGGTATTTTCAAATTTGTTAAGTGTAACATAGTCTATTTTGGAGAATGTGCTGTTGGGAAAAAAATGTTCATTCTGCAGCTGTAGAATGAAATTAAATGTTCTATAAATATCTATCAGGTCCGTTTGTTCTAGGATGCTGTTTATCATCTATATTTCTTTGTGTATATATTTTTTTCCGGACGATATGTACACTGATGAATGTGGGGTGTTTAAAGTCCCCTACTATTATTGCATGCAGCCACTCTTTTCCGAACTATTAATACATGCTTTACATATGTGGGTGCACTTCTATCTGGTGCATATATATTTACAATTGTTGTATCCTCTTGTTTAGTTGACCACTTTATATAATTACCTTGTCTTTTTTTTTTTTTTTTTTTTTTTACTGTTCTTGGCTTAAATTCCTTTATTATCTGATATGTAGACAGCTACTCCTGCACATTTTTGGCTTCTGTTAACATGGAATATCTTTTTCCACCTCTTTACTTGCAGTTTGTGCATGTCTTTATAGGTTATGTAAGTTTATTTGTAGATAGCATAGATTTGGGTCTTACCTGTTTATTCACTCAGCCACTCTATATCTTTTAATCATAGAATTTAACCAGTTTGTATTCAAGGTTATGATTGACTAGTATGTGTTTATTACTGCCCATTTGTTACTTTTTCTGTTTGCTTTATAGATCCTTTATTTTTTCTCTCTTATTGTCATCTATTGTGATTAATTTTTACCTAGCATTGTTTTCATTATGTCTTGTGTATTTTCAGTATATGTAATACAGGTTTTTACTTTATGGTTACCATTAGGATTAAAAAATCCTTTAGTTATAGTAAGTTATGTTAAACTCATAACAACTTGATATTTCAAAGAAAAGTATCAAAAAAAAACTCTACACTTTAATACTATTGCACCTCACCATATTGTGATCTTTTGAAATTTCAATTTACATGTTTTTTTGTTGTTATCAATCTCTTAACCAATTTCTGTAAGGCTTTTTTTGTTTTTTTTGTTTGTTTGTTTTGTTTTGTTTGAGATGGAGTCTTGCTCTGTCACCCAGGCTGAAGTGCAGGGGCACAATCTCGGCTCAATGAAAGCTCCGCCTCCC
This sequence comes from Homo sapiens, assembly GCF_000001405.40. Taxonomy (NCBI): domain Eukaryota; kingdom Metazoa; phylum Chordata; class Mammalia; order Primates; family Hominidae; genus Homo; species Homo sapiens. Next base: position 162,856,444 of record NC_000003.12, on the reverse strand, counting down.
AGGTTCACGCCATTCTCCTGCCTCAGTCCCAAGTAGCTGGGACTACAGGTGCCCGCCACCACGCCCAGCTAATTTTTTGTATTTTTAGTAGAGACAGAGTTTCACCACGTTAGCCAGGATGGTCTCGATCTCCTGACCTCAGGATCTGCCCGCCTAGGCCTCCCAAAGTGCTGGGATTACAGGCATGAGCCATCGCGCCTAGCCTTTTTTTTGTTTTCAATAGCTTCTCCTTTAGTCATCATACTTAAGATATAAGTTATTTATTTTCCAAAATTACACTGTTAGTATATTTTGAATTTGTCTGCTCTCTAGCTTCTATCAGTGAGTTTATTTTTCCATTTTAAACCCTATTTATTCAAATTCACTAGCCGACCATAAATAAAGATTTTTCTGTGAACAAAAATGAAAACAAAACAGCACCCCATTTAGTGAAGCTATCCAATGACAACTTGGATTAGAAACTTTTACAGAAAAGAAACAGGAATAGAAATGCGCTTCATTTTAATGTTTACCTTTGACATGGATGAGGAAACTGGGCAGCAAATCTAGATGAATCTGTGGCTTCCACAAAAGTCTCTCTTTCAACCTCCTCTCCTTTCAGGAGCTGCTATCCTCCCCTCTCAAATGTTACCTTTAAGAGGAATTGATTAAGTATTGCTTATTTGTTCTGTAACAGGAAGTTCATTTTTTTGAATGAAACCCCTTCCAAGGATTTACATGTTAAGACTTATCTTTACTATTCTCTTATATATATATAGGTATGTGTGTGTGTGTGTGTGTGTGTGTGTGTGTGTGTGTGTGTATACTGTAAGTTCTGGGTTAAATGTGCAGAACGTGCAATTTTGTTACATAGGTATACACATGCCATGGTGGTTTGCTGCACTCCTCAACCTGTCACCTACATTAGGTATTTTTCCTAATGTTATCCCTTCCCTAGCCGCCAACCCCCAGAGATGCCCTGGTGTGTGATGTTCCCCTCCCAGTGTCCATGTGTTCTCATTGTTCAGCTCCCAATTATGAGTGATAACATGCAGTATTTGGTTTTCTGATCTTGTGAAAATTTGCTGAGAATGATGGTTTCCAGCTTCATCCATGTCCCTGCAAAGGACATGAACTCATCCTTTTTTATGGCTGCATAGTATTCCATGGTGTATATGTGCCACATTTTCCTAATCCATCAGTGAGTTTTATACCTTCAGATATTTTCTTGCTGCATGTAAGCATTCCTTTATTTTAGATTGAATAACTCCTTTTGGAATGTCTTATAAGACAGATTTGTAAAATATAATTTCTTTCAGCTTTTGTTTGTATGTGAAAGTCTTTTTCTCTGTTTCTTGTTTGAAGGATAGCTTTGCTGGGGATAGTTTTCTTGATTGTTAGTTTTTTCCTTCAGCAGTTTGAATATAGCATTCCACTCACTCTTAAACTGCAAGATTTCTGCTGAGAAATCTACTAAGAGCCATTTTAGGGTGCCATTGAATGTGATACTTCCCTTTCTCTTGCTTTTTTGAGTATTCTCTCTTTCACTTTGGTTTTTGCTAGTTTTATTATTATGTGCTTGGGCATATCTTCTTTGGGTTGAATTTCAGTGCTGACCTGTGTGCTTTCTGTACCTATATGCCATTGTGTCCAGATTTTGAATTTTTTTAGTATTGTCCTCTTAAATATGCCATTTATGCCATTTTCTTTTATCTCCTTTGGAAATTCCAATTATATGGAGGTCAGTAGATTTGATGGTGTTCCTTACTTCTGGTAAGTCTTCTTCACTGTTTTGAATTATTTTTTTCTTTTTGCCACTCTGATTGGCTAATTTCATAAGTTCTCTCTTTGAGCTCACCAATTCTTTCCTCTATATGACCAAGTCTATTATTGAAGCTTTCTACTAAGTTTTGCAGTTATTATATACTTTCTTTCTAAGATCTCTACTTGTGTTTAAACAATTCTTTATTTTTTTTGGTGAGATTTCTCATATCGTTTCTGAATTGTTTTCTACATTTCATTTAGTTTTCTATCCACATGTTTTGTGTGATTTTCTCTGATTTTCTTAAACTTCTTTAAGAAGATTATTCTGAATTCTCTATTAGGCACTTCATAGATCTTCAGTTCTTCTGGGTCCATTGCTTGAACTTTGTTGGATTCTTTAGTGGACTGAGTTTTCACAATTCTTGCATCTTCATGTTGATGCCCGTACATTTGAAGAGATAACAACTTCTTTCAGATTTGCAAGTGCTCTTCTGTCATGTTAGACCTTTACTTCTTAATATTGGAACTTAAAAGTTAGGTTTTGTTGCTTCCCATTCTGAGCAGGTTTTATAGCGAGCATTAGAACTGAAGTATGGCATTGGAACTAACTCACTGCCGTATCAATGTTTCCCAGTCTGAGGAAGACTTACAGTGAACACTAAAGCTTAAATGCTTCCCTGGAACTATATTTCTGCCCTGCCATTGTTTCCTAGTCTTAGTAAGACTTAGCAGGCACTGGGTCTTAGTCTTGACCTTTTACTTGTTTCCAGGCCAGGCAAAGGCGTCACAGGAGCACCTAGGCTTTACAGGAAATCAGGCTAGAAATTTGAGTCTTCCTTTGGTCGTGCCCTGTGCAGTGCTGTGACACCAACAAGTCTCTTCAACATGGCATTCCCCACTGATCAAAGTGCTGAACAGTTGCCAAGAGCTGTGCACCCCAGTGGTTGACCCTAATTTATCTCAGATGGTTCAGCCCTCTTGGGGCTCTGACAGTTTTTTGTGACTGGGAAAAAGTGTGCTTCCTGTCAAGATTTCCACACTGGTGAGGAGACTGAACATCCACCTCCAATTTTCTTCTCTCACCTTCTGTGAGTGGCATTATGCCAACATAGAGGAGGGAGTGGTACAGTCTAAAATCATTATTTATCTTACCGGTTGTAGCTTCTTTTGATTCTGTGGGCCCAGGAAGTTTCTCTGCTTCTTCCTGGAGTTCTGATGTATTCAGTATGGTTTTCCTGCCTTTGAATAGTTTTGACTTGCATTTTTGTCAGGGCAGTATTGCCAGGGGCTTTTCTATTACATCATCTTGCTGATGTCATTTTCACCTTCAAATAAATTTATTTCTCAGCACATGATTTATTACTAAATCTTTAATCGATGTATTAGCCTCACACCATGTTACAGTATTTTGTATATATTTGACAAGTTCAAATTAGAAAGGCATATTGCAGGTTACACATGCTACAGAATTGATCTTTCTGCTATACATTTTAGGTTTTACTATAGTATTTCCTTGTTTGTGGTGAATGAACCATCTCACTCATCTTAACTAAAGTATGTTGACAAGATAGCCGCTTCTCAATTCCTTTGCAATTGGTTATTTTAGCGTTTAAACTATAGTACATATCTATGTTTTCACACATTGCTGCCCTAAAATATTTTGGGAATAAAAGTTTCAGCAACAATATTTTTGAGAAATTATCTTCTAAGATGTTGAAAATCAGCATTTATTGAATAATAATAAGAATATAGCTTTAAAATGCAATAACATTTGCACACAATATAAGATATATATAACTATATATATATAACATATATAACTATATATATAACATATATATATATATCTCTCTCTCTCAAACAAAAACAATGCCAGTACTTTCTCCATAATCCAAGTCCAAGTCTTTGGGAAAAATGACCAGCGCCTTTGAAAACCTTTCAGTGGCTATTCATGGTGAATTGATGTGCACTATGGCATTAAATAGACAACTTCTACCAGTAATAACTCAGTTGCCACATATTAGAATTACATATATCCCATAGTATGCTTTGCATGATACGCTAAATGTTTCACAAACCCTCCTCAAGGGCATTTATATAGGTAGGCCTAATATTTCTATTTTTTTCTGATGACAATATTTAGCCTTAGAAAGGTAAGGTTTTTCAAGGCCTTAGTTGCAACTTGTACTTGAAACCATAGTCTTACTATAGGGCCTGTGATTTAAACTACTTTGATCATTGTCTTGCACAACTGTTCCTTGATATATGTGTTACATTTACTTTATATTTATGATTTTTTCTCTATTTTTATATAGGCTGACTATAGATGGAAGTGAAAACAACAGTCATTATTTTAGACATGAAGAACCTGAACAACACAAGTCATTTCATTTTCAACCAGTATCTTTGCAAGCCATAAAATGGTTGGCAGTTTTATTAGTTTGAATATAGGTTAGTCTGAATATAGTGGTTTTCAAAGCCACTTTGTAACAAAGTGGCTTAAGAACATAGTGGCTTTGAAAGATGGGAATTATTCCTCTAACATACAATTCCAGGTAGAATTTCATGCAGGGCTGAAATGCTGTATAAAATTAAGAACCTAGATTCTAGGTGAGTTACACCTGGTGGTCTGAAGTGGCCGGTGATCCTGTAATCATATGTGCATTTAGAAAGGGAAAACGAGAAAGTAGAAAGGAATGTGTTTTTTTTTTATCATTGTCGAATAATGATCACGATCATGAGGGCATGCTCCAGAAATCCTATGCATTGTCTAAACATTACTCTTTTTGCGAGAATATAATCCCCTGGTCACGTACAAGCAAAAGAGGTAATAAATAACCTTTTGTTGAGAAGCCTAGTGCACAGCTAAAAATTCTGTTTTAAAGTAAGAAAATAGTAATTTATAATATCTGACTTGAACATATTTTTTAATAACTGAAAATATGTCTCTTTCAAATCAATATCAAAATGTTGAGAAATGAAATTATTTTTCAAATTCCAACAAACAGGTCACTAGCAAGTAATTACTACAATGTTGTTTTTTTTAATGTATTATCAGACTCTACTTTCTTCTATTTTAGAACCCACAATGGGAACAATAGGAGGCATCTGCTAAGTATTATTTCTCTTTCTTCAGTTTGTCTTCTGTTTAAACTTATTTTATAATGCTCTCACTGAAAATTAAGCAAGTTAAATAATGAGGAAGAGAGAGAAGAATTAATTCGTTTATTCAATAATACTGAGGCTTATTAAATGGCAGACATTTTTCTGGATAGTGGTGAGGCAGTAGTTAAGAAACACAAATTTCCTACTCTGACAGAATTTACATTTCATAAATAACCAGAGAGAAAAAACAAAACAAAACAAAACAATAAAAAACAATAAACCAAGAGAGCTATATATCATGATAGAAAATGAAGCAAGTGTCAAGGGAAAGGTGCTATTTGATAGGGGGTCATTAGGGAAGTCCTACTAATATTGTGATATGTGAGCCGAGACCTAAAGGGAGAATGAAAGTAAGTCAAACAAACATCTGAGGGAACACAATTTCAAGCAGAGGGAATAGAAGGGGTAAAAGACCTGAGGAATAAGTGTATTTGTAATATTTGAGGGTAAGAAAGGAGACAAGATGTGTCACTTATGAACAATTTGAGGGGAAAGGAGGGAGTAGATGAGTTCATAGAAAGAAGAGGGAGGCCGGTCATGGTGGCTCATGCCTGTAATCCATACTATTTGGGAGGCTGAGGAGGGTGGATCACAAGGTCAGGAGATCAAGACCATCTTGGTCAACATGGTGAAACCCCATCTCGACTAAAATTCAAAAAACTAGCCTGGCGTGGTGGCACTTGCCTGTAGTCCCAGCTACTTGGGAGGCTGAGGCAGGTGAATCTCTTGAACCCTGGAGGCAGAGGTTGCAGTGAGCCATCGTGCCACTGCACTCCAGCCTGGCAACAGAGTGAGACTCCGTCTCAAAAAAAGAAAAAGAAAGAAAACAAAGTAGAAAGAAGAGGGGAAACAGACTATTCAGGGACTCTAGATAATGTTAAGTGTATTAGATTTTATCACGCACGAGAGGGAAAAACACTGAATGGTTTTAACTATGCTCCAGGAGTTTCCTTGTCTTCTCTGAATCCATAGAAAAATGACAGTGTCAGGTAGAAATGCTGACAACCCTGTTGTACAGGGCACCAAGTTATAGATGATGTCACCTATATCAGTGAAGTGTAGGGTCATGTCCTGCTGGTTCATTTTATTTTACAAAGCATTTTTGTGTACTAATACAGGCAGAGGTATTTTAAGAGGCAGAAGAGCAAATTAAGCTCCTAATGTATTCAAGAAAGTTTTTTGTTGTTGTTGTTGTACAAAGTAAATGTCCCATTATCAAATATAAGCCTTTCCTTTCTTCCCCAAATTAACCACTATATTGATTTTAAAGGGGCAAAACTGATAAGTTTTGCCCCTTTAAAAACCTTCTATATAAGTTAAATCACATATCTACTATTTTATATCTGTTTTTTAACATTATATTTGATATTAATCCAGTGTAAGCATGCATTGCCATTATATATTTCTCATGATTGCATAGTATTTCATTGTGGAATATGTTAAGTATTATTTATTCATTCTACTGTTGTTGTAAGATATTGACTCATGTATATTGATGCTTAAACTTTTTTTTTTTTCTTTTTTTCAGACAGAGTCTTGCTCTGTAGCCCAGGCTGCACTACAGAGTACAGTGGTGTGATCTCAGCTCACTGCAACCTCCACTTGCGGGTTCAAGCAATTCTCATGCCTAAGCCTTCTGAGTAGCCAGGGTTACAGGAATTCACCAACATGCCCAGTTAATTTTTGTATTTTTAGTGGAGACAGAGTTTTGCCATGTTTTCCAGACAGGCTGATCTTGAACTCCTGGCCCCAAGTGATCTGCCCGCCTCGGTCTCCCAAAGTGCTGGTATTACAGGCTTGAGCCACCTGATGCTTAAACATTCCTGTACATAGTTTTTTACTATTGTAAAAGCCAGCCTGATGCTTAAACATTCTTGTACATAGATTTCACTATTGTTTCTTATTTGATTTGGCAGTTAAATAGAATAATTCTGGCTTGTATAATCCGTATATAAAAGCCTTCAGATTTATTATTGATTTGTACCTTGATTCAAAACTTTGTGACTTTAAAATAAACTGTATGGGCTGGGCGCAGTGGCTCATGCCTGTAATCCCAGCACTTTGGGAGCCCGAGGCGGGTGGATCACAAGGTCAGGAGATCGAGACCATCCTGGCTAACATGGTGAAACCCCATCTCTACTAAAAATAAAAAAAAAATTAGTTGGGCATGGTGGCAGGTACCTGTAGTCCCAGCTACTCAGGAGGCTGAGGCAGGAGAATGGCGTGAACCCTGGAGACGGAGCTTGAAGTGAGCCAAGATCACGCCACTGCACTCCAGCCTGGGTGACAGAGCGATACTCCTTCTCAAAATAAATAAATAAATGAATAAATAAATAAACAAACAAACGGTGTGATCTTAATTCTTTGACATTTGTTATTTAATTTTAAGCACAATGCATGATAAGTCATAGGAAATGTTATATGTATACTTAAAGAGATTATGTAATTTATAATTTGGCTGTACATGGTCCTATATATGCTATTTAAGTCAATTTATTAATTTTATTCTTCAAATCTCCAACCTTTCTAACTTTTTGTTTGCTTTTCTGGTTTGACACTGTGAAGAAATCTTGATACTGTGTAAAATCTCAAATTAGGAAAATTAATTTGTTTACTTATATATTTATATATTAACCCAATTTTAGATTTTGAAAACTTTACTGCTATGTTATCAAAAGCATACAAATTTAGATTTTTTCTTATTTTATTCCCAGATAATCTTTTAAGTATGAAATGCCTCATTCAACTCCAATAATGTTTCTTACTTTAAATTCTAATAGATTTAACATTAATATAGCTACACCAGCTATCACTTTGTTTGAGACTATGCAATACATTCTTCTCATCATTTCACTTTTATTTTGTTGGCTGCTATAAATTTTTTGTGTTGTTTTAGCAAATTTACTATTGTGTGTTTAGGTTTGCTGTTATTTTTTATTTATCCTATAGAGAGCTTCTTCCTAAAAATGTGATTTCATAACCTTTTGATGGTTTTGGAAATTCACAGCCATTTTCTTTCAAAAATTGTTTATCTTAATTTTCTTCTCACTGTGAAAAATCAAAGGGTACAATAACTAAGTGATGTTAACAGATTTGGTTCATAAACCTTCACTGGCTGGATTGGACAGGTAACTAGTTCAAGTGGTTATATCAAGTAAAAATGTGAAAGTTGCAAGCATCATTTAAAATTCTGAGTTGAAACTTCACTTGGATGAAATAAGTTGTGTATCATCTTAATTCCTGTATCAAGCCAGGAGATATAAATGATTGTCTCACATCACCAAGTGATCATCTTTTTTAACAATAGAATATTTCCCTAAGTATGAAGCAACTCACAGGGGGAAAAAAAAACCTAGAAAAGTCATCTTATACAGAAAATGATATAATTAAGCTCATAGAAAGAGAAATAAAATATAGTTCAACATATTAAGGATCTTATGTAAGAATCTCCAAAGAGTTGTGAGGGAAAACCAGTTTTTGCTTTCTGAATAAGTAATGTTTCATGGCTCTTGTTATCTGTGTTGTTTCCAATACTGCAATTATACGTATGCTCAGCCTGTTTTTATAGGAAGAACAGATACTTGATCTAATGTTATTTATATGACCAGCTAATGTTGGTCTAAAAACTTGACAATTTAAGATTTTTGATCACTCAATAGAAGCTTGTAAATAAATTTTTAAAAAATGAGTGTAATACTTTAAGAATGAATATATGTATAATAACTATTTCTATGTAAATAAAGATATATTACTTACAAATAATTATAACTCCTCAATTAATCTTAAATTCTATTCCACTCCCTACCACAAGGGGAATAAAATATAAAATTACCAAGAAACATTTTTTGGTAAAATATTTTTACCAAATAAAATACTACTTTGTGTGATTAGTTGGTTTGGTAAATTTCATATTACCCATTCAAGGTTTAATAATGTTTAGTTTGTGTTTTAACTGGGAACATGAATTATTGAAAACAAGAAGTTTAAAATACCACAGATTAATATCAATGAATTATTTATTTTAATGATTCATGTTAAACTTGAAATCTTCAAATTATGTCAAACAATAGTGTTCCAGAAGATCACAATAATAATTTTTTTATTAAAAATGCTATTATCATCACAATTACAATAAATAAATCAGTTATAAGTACTATTTGTGATGAAAAGCATGAGATGTACTTAGACGTTTATTTTGAAATGAGTTTTATCACTGTAGATTACATTGACTCTAAGTCTTGCTGCTTTCATATGGAAAAGATCAAAATATAAACCTATGGACTGTTATTTTACAGCAACATTTACATTGCTCAGTTTGTATACTCATATTTAGTAAAAGTATAGTGTAATATTTTGGCAATTAGGCAGATGAGAAAAAATGCCTGGAAGAAATATGACTCAGTGAAACCACATCACCTATTGATTAAGAACATAAATAGGAAATTTAAGAATATTTTGGTTGCTTGCTTTTGCTAATAGGAAGTAACAGTAAGCTTTATATTTTTATATCTTTATTTTATAAGAACAATACTACTTTAATTTAAAATAGAAAGCAGATGAGCATATAATTTTAAATAGGTCATGAGATTTCAGAGAAATTTCTTTCCAGAGATATTGTTGGTTATAGTCTGCCAAACTGTAAAGAAACATACATTTATTCTCAAGTCGTTGTTAGTTTTGAGAGAGAAAGTGGTGGGGAGGAGAGAGAGAGGGGGGAGAGAGAGACAGACAGAGAGACAGACAGAGAGAGCGATATCAAGTGAAAATGAAACTTATTTTAAAATATAGTATGATTGATATGAAAGTGCACATATTGGCAGTAAGTAGTAAACATACCTATTTCATAGATTTAAAGAAGAAATGGGGAAGAGGTTATGACTGGTGGAGACTTAAATAACTTTATAAAGAAAACAGATTCATAGTTGTTCAAAAGGTCTGTTTCAATGTCATACAAACCATAGCTTGTAGACAAACACACACTTACCAAACTTGTCATGTGCTATTCTGAATGCAAAGGTGTCTGCATCCAATCAAAGGACAAGAATTGAGATAGTTATTTTTGTTTACTTTTCAGAAACACTTAAAGGGAAAATAATAAAATCTACATAATCTGAGTGTATAGAGCTGTGGAAATAACAGAGGGATGGATTAGTCTTTGAGTATATGAATCTATAAATAAAAGTAGAGATACAATATATAACAAATTCCAGGCAAAGTTAAAGCCATAGAGAAGTTAAAGAGAGAGGAATTGTACATGCCAGAATCTGGAGGCCACTGAGTAGATCAATAGAATTAAAAGGTCACTTATAACGCTGCAGGAAAATGAAAGAATTCATAAATTACTCTTGTAGCAAGCTGTAAGATTTGAAAGCCAGGAGTACAAACTTTAGCGTAGGCAATCACAATATAACTTGATAATGTAACGTTTTATGAAGATTTTTCTGGCAAGTGTCCAATACCTCATGGAAACGGAAGGCAATTTCAATATTCTGAAAGAAAGGTAATACGTAAAGAGATAAAGAAACTTACTGGTCATGCCGTAATATTGGATTTTATCCAGAAAGCAATGAAATGTTTAATTGCATTTTAGAACTTGCATTTTGCAGTGTGAATATATTGAGGAAAGACAAGGTTGGAGGCATAGGTATTAACTGGGAAACTGCTGCCTGATTCAGAGGAGAAATAATCATGTTGGAAAGAAGATTATAGACTCAATAGGTATGTCAAAGTTTGACTTCTCAGTATTCAATGAATAATTGAAAATGAGGCTGTCAAGTGAGAAGATGGATTAAGAGAATTATAGTTTCTGGCTTGAGAAACTGGAAACAGTGTTGTTCTGAGATATGGCATGAAATTGGCAAGAGATACTTTATCAGTGTGGGGATGATATTGAATAAATGAAGAGTAATAGAGTGATGAATTCAGTTTAGAACAAATTGGTTCTGAGGTATCTGTGACTATCTAGATGGAGGTTAGATTATTATCTAGGATGTGGGCGTTCATGTCTAAAGTTAAGGAACTATTTAGCGTTTTCAGGTTTAGGGGAGAATTTGAAGACAGGAAGAAGGGAGTAAAATCAGGAAAATACAGTTCCCAAGAAGATAAAGAAAAGAAACCATAAGTTTTAGATCTAGCAATGAAATTTCATATGGACTAGAACACCCATCATTAATATAAGTATTTTATTATAACATGTATTTAAAATGAGTTGATTTTGCTAAATTTTTATTTATATGATTCTCCATCTATGCTAGAAGTACGAGGAATACATGTTTTCTTTTATACTAAATAAAATTATTTTATTCAACAAATTAAAAATACTATGCAAAAATTGAAGGATCGATATAAGGAAAGTCTATCTAAAAAGTCACAGCTATCATACTGAGAGGTGACAGTGGGCTGGCAGCCCTCACTCATTCTCTGCACCTCCTCGGCCTCCGCACCCACTCTGGCCATGCTTGAGGAGCCCTTCAGCCCACCTCTGCACTGTTGGAGCCCCTCTCTGTGCTGGCCAAGGCCGGAGCCAGCTCCCTCTGCTTGCAGGGGGGTGTGGAGGAAGAGGTGCAGGTGGGAATCAGGGCTGCGCACCCAGTGCAAGTTCCAGGTGGGCATGGGCTTAGCGAGCCCCACACTCAGAGCGGCCAGCCAGCGCCACCAGCCCCGGGCAGTTAGGGGTTTAGCACCCGGACCAGCAGCTGCGAGTGCACTGGGTCCCCCAGCAGTGCCAGCCTGCCAGTGCTGCACTCGAATTGTCACCAGGCCTCAGCTGTCTCCCTGCGAGGCAGGGCTCGGCACCTGCAGCCCACCATTCCCGAGCCTCTCCCCTGCCGTGAGCTCCTGCGTGGCCCAAGCCTCCCCAAAAAGTGCTGCCCCCTGCCCCACGGCACCCAGTCCCATTGACCGCCCAAGGGCTTAGGAGTGTGGGCGCATGGCTCGGGACCAGCAGGCAGCTCCACCTGCGGCCCCAGTGCAGGATCCACTAGGTGAAGCCAGCTGGGCTCCTGAGTCTAGTGGGGTCTTAGAGAACTTTTATGTCTAGCTGGAGGTTTGTATATACACCAGTCAGCACTCTGTGTCTAGCTCAAGGTTTATAAATGCACCAATCAGCACTCCGTATCTAGCTAATCTAGTGGGGACTTGGAGAACATTTATGTCTAGATAAGGGATTGTAAATACACCAATCAGCACTCTGTGTCTAGCTCAAGGTTTGTAAACGCACCAATCTGCACCCTGTGTCTAGCTCAAGGTTTGTAAATGCACCAATCAGTGCTCTGTGTCCAGCTAATCTAGTGGGGACTTGGAGAACTTTTGTGTCTAGCTCATGGATTGCAACGCACCAATCAGCACCATGTCAAAACGGACCAATTAGCTCTCTGTAAAACAGACCAATCAGCCCTCTGTAAATGGACCAATCAGCAGGATGTGGGTGGGGCCAGATAAGGGAATAAAAGCAGGCTGCCCAGACAGCAGGGGCAACCCCCTTGGGTCCCCTTCCACACTGTGGAAGCTTTGTTCTTTTACTGTGCAATAAATCTGCTGCTGCTTACTCTTTTGGTCTGCACTGCCTTTATAAGCTGTAATACTCACCGTGAAGGTCTACAGCTTCACTCCTGAGGCCAGCGAGACCACGAACCCACTGGGAGGAATGAACAACTCTGGACAGGAGGAATGAACAACTCTGGACCGGAGAAACGAACAACTCCAGATGCGCCACCTTAAGAGCTGTAACACTCGCTGTGAAGATCGCGGCTTCACTCCTGAAGCCAGCGAGACCACGAACCCACGGGAAAGAAGAAACTCCGAACACGTCCGAACATCAGAAGGAACAAACTCCAGACACACCACCTTTAAGAACCGTAACACTCACCGCAAGGGTCCACGGCTTCATTCTTGAAGTCAGTGAGACCAAGAACCCACCAATTCCAGACACAATATGACTTATTTTGATATATGGATGGTGAAGTTATTTTAAATTGCACATGAGACACACTGGCATTTTCCTTTTAACATTACTGTTAAACACACAATCTCACGTGATCTTGGTAAGATTTACATTATGTATGCATTTGTTTGCTGTTTACACACATTATACCAGAAATCATGTTAAATAATATATAAAGTTTTTATTACAGATGTATTTGAATGGCTTATTAATGTCTAAATATGTATATCTATATATTTATACGTCTAAAAAAAGGGAAAAGCTAGGGTAAGGACAGAAATTAGTAATAAAATTGAATATATTCATAACAATTACCTTCTTGCTTCCATGGACCACAAATTTGGCTCAAAGTTTGTTAAAAACTTTTGTAAGAAGAAGTTAGTCTACTCATTTACACATTTCACAGTGATCGTAAAATTAAATATGTTCTTGGAGGAACAAGAGTGAATCGACTCAGACAATGTTTGCTATAATAAAGTTCTTGATGACATTGTCTTAGAACAGCTGTGATAAGGTTTTGCTTCCTGTACATTTGTCATAGCATTTTCTCCAATATTGACTGATAAGAAATTCACAAAAGCAATTCTGTAGGAGTGGCGGGGTGGTGCAGTAAAACGTAGTCCAGGTACTAACTCTCTGTTTCATAGAATCCAGTAGCTGAAGACAGCATACTATATTCCACATGAAGGACTCCATGTACAGATCTGACAATGAAATAAATGTGTACTCAACCAATCTTTCTGGTGTAATCCTCTGTTGAACACAAAATGTCTGTGCTTATAATCATCCAGGCTTTCAGAGAAGATGAATGGCTTTAGCATGTCTTAAACTTCTACACACTGAGATGAATATGCATGCTGTCCATCAGGGAGGAATTCATGCAGTGAGACTTGGAAAGAGAAAGTTAAAGACTGAGGCAAAGGATATTAGCCTGCTTCAAGTTGAAATATTCTTACAAGTCCCTGAATTTCTTCTTATCTGAATCACTTCATACACCTCTTAGAAAAGCACTATCTTCTCTTCTATCAAAGAAAATCACATTGGAGATTACTCCAACGATTTACACATAAGGGCATGGAAAATTATGTCACATATAAACTTAAATTAATATTACTAATTCATCTACTTACAATATGAATATAATAATCTGTGGCAGGCAAATGTAATGCAAACTATGTTATGACGCACACTCAAGTATTCTGTGAAGAAACATTTCAAAGGTTAATTGTAACCTCTAATTTTTTTTTTCCTTTTTTAGACTGAGTGTCGCTCTGTCACCCAGGCTGGAGTGCAGTGGCGCAATGTTGGCTCACTGCAAGCTCTGCCTCCCCAGTTCATGCCATTCTACTGCCTCAGCCTCCCTAACAGGTGGGATTACAGGCGCCCACCACCACGCCCAGCTAATTTTTTGTATTTTTAGTAGAGACGGGGTTTCACTGTGTTAGCCAGGATGGTCTCGATCTCCTGACCTCATGATCTGCCCGCCTCAGCCTCCCAAAGTGCTGGGATTTCAGGCATGAGCCACCGCGCCCGGCCTCTAATTTTATCAATACCAAAGAACATCTAGATTGTCTCCTTACATACCTTTTATTTTTAAATTAAAATAAACTTTCACTTCATTGTCCTTTGATTTGCTATCTTGCTAGATACCTTAAACACAAATAAGTCACTTCCGCTTCAAGGAATACATACATACAAATATAATGTTTTAAAAATTAGAAGCCTTATAACTTCTTAGTTTCATAAACTTGATTATGTAAAAATCTCAGTTTTTTAATGGCATACTACTACTGCACGATATTTTGGTCAACACAGTTTTTAAGTATAAATGCCAACAAGGTTTAGGCAGATAACCTAAGTTCAGAGAGTTGGGTTCTATGATCAAAAATAAAGCAGATACCATCAGCCATCAGTGTCCTACAAGAATCAGAAAGCTAAATTTTGTCATATCTTCAGATTCTCTAAAAGATCATCAGAAAATCAAGATTTTGTATTTGTAAAAGCTTATAATACACTCAACTAATTCTAAACAATGTGTGTGTGTTTAGGCTTACATCTGTAGGCTTGCTATAAATATAGTTTTAGAGAAGAAAGCTAAAATTCTATACAAGTTTTCTTTCAATGTCTAGGGAAATGCAGATTTATTCCATTCATATTCTGAGATCTAAGTATATACAGAATGTTTTATATGTTTTCAAATGTAAATTATTATTGATATAGACATGCTTTGAAACAAGCCAGGTTTTAATTTTTACTCATACAATGATATATTGAATAATTGCTATTAAAATTGTAGAAAAATATCAATAGTACAATGATGTACCAAAATGATTTAAAAGTTCTATCTCTTCCAATAATATTACATATATTAATTTTTAATAATATTTCATTTTGCAAAATATTGATGTATAAATACATAAATTAAAAAATTGTACATCCTCCAAAGAGCTATCCAAGGCTAATATTTTGGTGAATTCCTTTCTTGTAATTTTATTTGAATACATTTAACCAACTGAAAAATTAGGGTAAAATTGAATTCAGGGTTCTATTACCTGCCTTGCTACTGTTTAAAACAACCAATTTTCATGCCATTAGTCTTTGAGTATTAATTTTAATGACAATATAATATCACATCATATAATCACACCATAATTTAACAGAACAAATATTGAATATGTGTGATATATTCCATTTTTTACTGTTATGAAAAATACTACAGAAGGCATTCACTGATATTTCTTAGCATCTTTAGAATAATTAGATAGAGAAATCCAAAAAAAAACATGCTACTGTCAGAATGCTTTCCACCGTTTCATGAACATTTTCATTTCTGCATAGATCTGACTATCATAATTAATACATAATATTTTGTTGTTACAAAAGGTATTATTTCATTCTTTTTTATGGCTGAGTAGTATTACATGGCATGTGTGTATATATGTATATATATCCACACATGCTCTTTATCCACTCCTTAGGCACCCACAGACATACTGAATGGTATAATGAACACTGGGGCTCAGAGGGTGGAGGGTAGGAAAGGGGTGAGGGATGAATATCTACCTGTTGAACCACAAGGTACACTACTCAGGAGATGGGTATACTAAAATCTCAGATTTCACCACTATACAATTCATCCATGTAACCAAAGACCACTTGTACTTTTTAAGTATTGAAATAAAAGAATGTTAAAAATAAAAATAAAAAAGTAAAATGAAATTTTGTAAATTTTATGAGTTCTAGTCATAGGAAATCTCTATTCTTGATTGTTTCCTAGTGCATTTTCCTAGAGCATATTTTGCTGTGTGCTGTCTATCTGTATTTTTCCCTAACAATTATCTTTTCATACACTTATTTAGTATTTTAATGAAAAACAGTGATTAGTTACATATTTTCAAGAACTCATGTATTAAGGATAATAACCCTTTTTCTACCATGCTTGCAATTATTTTTCTGTTTCTATTTTTTAATATTGCTTTTTAATTAAAAGTACAGGCGGCTATAAATGTCTAATATTTACATATCTATGTCATTTACCAAATAGGGTGATATTAACAACAAGAAAAAGCTAACAAAAGTGGATTTGTATATGCTTTGGATGCATAATCATCTTTCTGTGGATTTACTCTCACTTTACAAAATGTTCCATTTTCTGTTTTAATCTGAAAACAAATAGCCTTTAAATTCTTCTCTCTAGAGAAAGTAGATGAAATCCTTGGCTTAATAAAAATGCAGGAAACTAAGACAAATTTAAGCAGAATAACAAGAATTAGAGTTTGACTTTGGAAATGGGGAGAAATTGCCAAATAGAGATATAATATAAAGATAACTTTAAAGTAATATCTGCCTCAATTGCTCTAAATATGATTGAATGTATGCTGTTATATTCTGAAAAACTTTGTATCAGAAATACATCTTGATTCTAGTTCTAATTGATTCAAAATTATATTAGATCATAATAAAAATAGCTTCATACCTTCATCCGTGCTTTAGAAAGAAGAATTTAAAATAATCTTTACTTTGAAGTAGAAGAGGAGGGAAAGATTTTAACACTGGAAACCACTTTTAACTGGTCCCAGACACATGAGCATACAAGTGTGTTTATGAAAGCATGCAATTATGTGGCAGGTCTGTCCTGCCACATAGAAATGCAGTTGGATGCTTTGGAAGTTAGGAGAAAAAAAAAAAAACTATTTGACGCAGTGTAATGTTAAGTACGGCCATAGCATAAACCAGAGCTTTTTAATAGATGCTTCCTGCATATTTTATTCAAATGTGTTTCACAACATTTTAAATACAAGAATGTATCATTGAAATAAATTTAATTGAATAATCCCTGTTATATCCTCATTATATATTATGAAATACAACTTAAATTTAAATCACTTTATGCAGCTTAACCCTTGTCTCTTATGGATGACATTATTGATAATAAATAAGAGAGTTAGCTAAGTAAATAATTAAGATGGTGTATCCCATTGGGCTGTGGGACTCTTTGGAAGGAAAGGATTAGGTGATGAGTAATTACCATTCTATTTCCATTTGTATAACAAAATCAAATTATTGTCTAAATAAGTAATCCACAGTGCTTTTGTATCAATCTGGCAATGATGTTTCCTTCTATTATTCCGACAGCCAAAAACACTTGATAAATATTAGCACTTTGTAAATTATATTAGTTTTAATTAACTCAGTAGATCTCATTTAAAACATCAGATGTATTAACAAACAATAACAAATACTGAGCCAAGTTAAGAACTTTCTATGTCTTATATATCTAGCCGTAGAATGTTAGTGAAGAAATTATCAAGAATGAATCACTGACAAAGAGAATAAAGAGATAAATTATTAACAAATGATTGCCAGGAAAAGATACTATGAAAGATTGTCAATGATTAATACCAATATAATTATAACTAACTTTTCAATGGGGTAATTTAATTTAACATTGAGTTATAGAGAGATGATGGAGTAAAGTATGGATAAATTGAAATCAATTATCTAAGAAAATTAAAAATAAAAAGTTAGAAAAGTTTTCCATTCTGGAAATATTCCTAGAACCATAACATTCAAGTTTGCTTGGAAAGAAATAAACATTTAGCAGTGGAATTGGTCATAATTGGTTAGAGTTAAAATTAGAGAAACGTGTTTTAGGGCAGAAAGAGAGCATCACGTGGCACCTGACACATATTTGGAGTTTAACAAATGATAAATAAAATGTAAGACTGAATATAGATGGGGAAATGCCCGTCAAAACTCCATCTGCTTTTGAAAGGTGTTTATTGAATGTCAGATTTAAAATAGCTACTCAAATATAAGATATTTTAATCAATTAATTGACATCTAATTTGGTATTTGTATCTTGCTAAGTACAAATTAACCACTGTATATACTCCTGAAGGTTAATACATTCATATAAACGCAGTCATAATTTTAGTATTTATGAAGTTCCAAGTTAATTAAATGGCATAAAGACTGATTCATTGCATACATGTAAATGGGGCTTTCAGTGTATTTTTTTACTCCTTTTACTTCCTCATTATTAAAAAAATGTCAATTTCTTCCAGGGATTTCTGCATGGTAAATATCTAATACAATCACATTTAATGCTAAAATAATAAAATTGAAATTAGAAGTTGACTTATATCAGGTGGAAAAATCAAAAATTGGAACGGAAAAATTCTCACTTAAATAATGAGAAATTAAAATAAAATTTGAAGTCTGGCACAATGGCTCACATCGTAATCCAAGCACTGGGGCCAGGGTGGGCACATCACTTAAGGTCAGTAGTTGAGACCAGCCTGGCCTAACATAGTGAAACCTCGTCTCTACTAAAAACACCAAAAAAAAAAAAAAAAAATCAGCTGGCCTTGGTGGCGGGCACTTATAACCCCAGCTACTTGAGAGGCTGAGGTGCGAGAATTGCTTGAATCTGGGAGACGGAGGTTGCAGTGGGCTGAGATTGTGCCACTGCACTCCAGCCTGTAAGTCAGCAAAACTCTGTCTCAAAAAATAAAGAAAGAAAATAAAATAAAGTAAATAAAAATTTAAATTTTTAAATTATTATTGACATAAACTTATGCTTTGTAACAAGACAGGTTTTAAAGTTTACTCATACAATGATATATTGAATAATTGCTATTAAAATTGTAGAAAAATATCAATAGTACAATGATGTAACCAAAATGATTTAAAAGTTCTATCTCTTCCAATATTACATACATTAATTTTAAATAATATTATTTCATTTTGCAAAATATTGATGTATAAATACATAAATTAAAAAATTGTACATCCTCCAAAGAGCTATCCAGGGTTAATATTTTGTGCTGCGCTTCCCTTAAAACTCACATTGAAGGACAAAGAGTATAAATTTGCATAAATATATAGTTTAGGTATTTATTTGTGACTTTCAAGTATCGTATTATAAGTAGTTTAGAATTACCATAAGTCATATAATATTGGCATAAGTAATCGTTTTATATAAAAATATTATTAAATCTATGAAGTGACACAGGAGCAAATATAAATGACCTGAATACAAGTAAAAATGAGATATGGAATAAACAAAAGGTCAGAAGAAGATGAACATTTATTGAATGTTTAATGTTAATATATTAAAGAAAGTGTGTTTTTTTCACATTGCTTAATACAACAAACTCCGTGACATGAGTTCACCTGTATAACAAACCTGAACATGTACCCAGAACCTAAAATAAAAGTTAAGATAAATAAATAAATATATATATTAAATTCTTCGAAATATTCTAACAGATATTTTTATCATCACTTGTTTCATAAATAAACAGGTGTTTGTTTAATTAAAGGAATGAATTCATTATTCTCTCTTTTACAGATGAGGAAACTGAAAATCAGAATGATTTATTTACACATTTTCCAAGATTATTCAGCCAAAGGATGACAAGAAAGTGTTCAATCATAATTCTAAAACATACTTTTGCTATCATATAGTACCAAATTTTAGTATAGTAGAAGTAAATTATCTCTTTACCATTATTCATCTTAGTTTGGAAAGAGATCTCAACTTCAACACTGACAATGACAAAGACAAAACCCATAAGAAAGTCAGAGAGGACCTAGCTTGCCTGATAACTAAGTAACCAAAGTTAACACTGAATGTAGGTTCTCCAAATGGAGTAAGCAGCTCTGTACTCTTGTTCAAGTAAACATGAATAAACTGAGTTACCTGAACACCACTAGCCCATGATCTATTTTTTGTCCCTGTGCTTTACTTGTACAAGACTTTTTGAACTTAAATAGAGGATCAAACTAACTTTTTCTGACTTGAAACATTATGTTTAACCTATCTTTAAGGCTGAAATATGAATATTGATTTTCCAATACTTTTCCTGACTTTCAGAGACTATACGTGACTTATCATATTCACCAAGAAAATTAAAACTGACCAGTCAGCTTACATACCACTGGGAGTTCTGAGATGTCAGTCTTTCATAAAAATTTCCACAGGAGAGAGAAGGTGGAACAAGATGGCAGAATAGAAGGCTCCACTGATTGTCCCCCATGTCCTGCAAAAACACCAATTTAACATCTATCTTCACAGAAGAAACACCTTCATAAGAACCAATAAATAAGTTGAGTACTCATAGTAGCTGGACTTAACTTCATATTGCTGAAAGAGGCACTTAAGAAATAGAAAAAAAAATCTTGAATCACCAAGGTTACCCTCCCCATTGCCCCTGAAGGTGTGGTGCTGAGATCATCTCTGGGCACTGGAGGAGAGAGAGCACAGACATTGTGAGGGCTTGAACTCAATATTGTCCTGTTAGAGCAGAGAGAAAAAACAGACCAAACTTACCAGCCTTAGCCAGAGAGGAATTGAACAGCATTTCTGGATCTACCCTGGGCCACTAGAGTGCTTATTATCCTGAAGGATGAGTCCTAGGAATAACAGCACTCACCACAAGCTGACCAAAGAGCGCTTGGGCCTTATGTGAACATCAGTAGTACTTTTACAGTACTCCCCATGGGTCCATGACAGTGGTAGACATAGGAAGAGACTCTCCTGCCTGAGGAAAGGGAAGGGAAGAGTGTGAAAGACTTTGTCTTGTGATTTTGGTGCCAGCTTAGCCATAGTAGAATAGAGCACCAGATAGGTTTCTAATATTTCTAACTCTATGCCGTGGTTCCAGACAGCATCTCTGGACCTGTCTGGGGCCCAGGGGAACTCATCATCCTAGAGGTAAATAAAGAAAACTGTGTGGCATCACCAACTGCTGACTGAAGAGCCACAGGGTCTTGAGCAAGTGTAGGCAGTAGCCAGGTAGCAGTTACAATGCGCCTTGGGCAAAACCCAGTGCAATGCTGGCTTCAGGTTTGACCCAGCACAGTCCCAGTGGTATTGGCCACAGGGATGCTTGTGTCACATATCTCCCAAATCCAGGCAGCTCAGCACAGAGGGATAGACTCCTTTTTTTTTTTTTTTTTGAGAGAAAATAACTAAGGGACACCCAAGTCCTTTCAAATATCTGGAAAGCATTCCCAAGAAGAGCAGGAACAAACAAGCCCATTCTACAAAGACTACAATAACTAATTCTTCAATGCCCATACACAGATGAACATCCACAAACATCAAAATGATTCAGAAAACATTACCTTACCAAATAAACTGAATAATCCACGAAGGGCCAATCTCAGAGAAAAAGATATGTGACTTTTCAACACAGAACCCAAAGTAGCTGTTTTGAGGAACCTCAGCAAAACTCAAGATCACACAAAGAAAGGACTCAGAATTCTATCTGATTAATTAAACAAAGAAATTGAAATAATTCAAATGAGTCAAGCAGAAATTCTGGAGCTCAAAATGGAACCGACATACTGAAGAATGCATCAGAATTTCTTAATAGCAGAATTAATTCAGAACAAAGAATCAGTGAGCTTGAAGACAGGCTATTTGAAAATACACAATCAGAGGAGTCTAAAGAAACCAGAATAAAACAAAAATAAAGCATCTATACATGATCTAGAAAATACTGTCCAAAAGACAAACCTAAGAGTGATTAGATTCAAAGGTGAGGTAGAGGGAGAGATAGGGGTACAATGTTTATTCAAAGGAATAATAATAGATCTTTCCAAACCTAAATAAACATTTCAATATTCAAGTACAAGAAGGTTATAGAACACCAGGCAGATCTAACAGAAATACTACTTTATGGCATTTAATAATCAAACTCTCAAAAGACGAAGATGAAATAAAGATCCTAAAAGCAGCAAAATAAAAAATATACATGCATTAAACTCCAGTATACCTGGCGGCCAACTTTTCAGTGGAATCCTTACAGGCCTGGCAAGGTTGAAATGACATATTTAAAGTGCTGAAGGAAAAACCTTTTACACCAGAATAGTATAGTCAGTGAAAACATCCTTCAAACATGAAGAAAAAATAAACACTTTTCCAGATAAAAGTTGAGGGATTTCATTAATACCAGAACTGTCCTACAAAGAATGTTAAAGACAATTCTTCAATCTGAGAAAACAAGATATTAATGAGCAATAAGAAATCATCCGAAGGTACAAAACTCACTGGTAATATCAGCTACACAGAAAAACAGAGAATATAATAACACTTTAATTGTGGTGTGTAAACTACTCTTCTGATATGTTGCATTGATTGATTTGCATAGGTTGAAACATCCTTGCCACCCCCAAATAAATCCCACTTGGTCATGATAATAACATTTTTTTAACTTTCTTTTCTTTTTATTTAAAACAAAACAAACAAAAACAAATGGGATATATGTGAAGAATGTGCTAGTTTGTTACATAGGTATACTTGTGCCACTTGTGCCATGGTGGTTTCCTGTACCTATTGACCCATCCTCTAAATTCCCTCCCCTCATCCCCCAACAGGCCTTGGTGTGTGTTGTTCTCCCCACTGCGTCCATGTGTTCTCAATGTTTAACTCCCACTTATGAGTGACAACATGAAATGTATGGTTTTCTGTTCCTGTGTTAGTTTTCTGAGGATGATGGCTTCCAGTTTCATCCATGTCCCTGCAAAGGACATGATCTCATTCCTTTTTATGCCTGCATAGTATTCCATGGTATATATGTACCACATTTTCTTTACCCAGTCTATCACTGATGGGCATTTGGGTTGGTTCCATGTCTTTGCTATTGTGAATAGTGCTTCAATAAACATGTGTGTGTGTGTCTTTATATCAGAATGATTTATATTCCTTTGGGTATATACCCAGTAATGGGATTGCTTGGTCAAATGGTATTTCTGGTTCTAGATCCTTGAGGAATCACCAAAATGTTTTCCACAATGGTTGAACTAATTTACATTTCCACCAACAGTAAAAAAGCGTTCCTATTTCCCCACAGCCTTCCCAGCATCTATTGTTTCCTGACTTTAATAATTACCATTCTGACTGGCATGAAATGGTATCTCATGGTGGTTTTGATTTGCATTTCTCTGATGATCAGTGATGTTGATCTTTTTTTTTTCATGTGTTTGTTGGCCATGTAAATGTCTTCTTTTGAGAAGCATCTGTTCATATCCTTTGCCCACTTTTTGATGGGGATGTTAGTTCTTTTTATTGTAAATATGTAAAGTTCCTTGTAGATTCTGGATATTAGACCTTTGTCAGATGGATAGATTGCAAAAATTTTCTCCCATTCTGTAGGTTGCCTGCTGACTCTGATGATAGTTTCTTTTGCCGTGCAGAAGCTCTTTTGTTTAATTTGATCCCATTTGTCAATTTTGGCTTTTGTTTCAATTGCTTTTGGTGTTTCTGTCATGAAGTCTTTGCCCATGCCTATGTCCTGAATGGTATTGCCTAGGTTTTCTTCTAGGGGTTTTATGGCTTTGGGTTTTACATTTCAGTGCTTAATTCATCTTGAGTTAATGTTTTAATAAGGTGTGAGGAAGGAGTCCAGTTTTAGTTTTCTGCATATGGCTAACCAGATTTCCCAGCACCATTTGCTGAATAGGAGATCCTTTCCCCATTGGTTATTTGTTTGTCAGGTTTGTTGAAGATCAGATGATTGTAGATGTGTAGTTTTAAGTGACGATCAGATGATTGTAGATGTGTAGATGTGAGGTCTCTTTTCTGTTCTGTTGGTCTATATGTTGGTTTTGGTACTAGTACCATGCTGTTTTGGTCACTGTAGCCTTGCAGTATAGCAGTACGTATTCTGCAGTTTTTGGATGAAACATTCGTTACTTGGTCATGATGAATAACCTTTTAAACTTACTGTTGAATTCAGTTTGTGAGTATTTTGGTGAGGATTTTGGGTCAACATTCATCAGGGTTATGGGCCTATAGTTTTCCTTTTTTAGTGTGTCTTTGTCTGGTTTTGGCATCTGGGTAATATTGGATGAAGCCATCAAGTCCTGGGCTTTATTTTATTTTATTTTTTCCTACAGCTTTGATCTCTTTACTTATTATTTCTCAGTTTGGGTTTTGGATTTCTTCATGTTTCAATCTTAGTAGGTTGTATGTATCTAGGAATTTATCCGTTCTATCTAGGCTTTACAATTTATTGGCATGAAATTCCTCATAGTATCTTCTAATGGTCTGTGGAATTTCTACAATATTAGTTGCAATGTCACCTTTTTTTCCCTCTGATTGTATTTATTTGGATCTTCTCTGTATTTTCTTAGTTTGGCTAAAGGTTTGTCAGTTTTGTTTATCTTTTCAAAACACTTTATTTTGTGGATGTTTTGTTCAATTTTCTTTGTTTCAATTTCATTTATTTCTACTGTGATCTTTATTTTTTCCATTTTCCTAATAATTTTGGGTTTGATTCACTCTTGCTTTTCTAGTTCTTTAAGACACATACTTATGTTGTTTATTTAAAGTTCTTCTATTTTTTTGATGTAGGTATGTAGGTGCTTGTAACTCTAAACTTCCCTCTCGGAACTGCTTTCACTGTATTCTAATAGGTATTTCCATTATCACATTTTGCAAGACATTTTATAATTTTCTTTTTTTTTCTTCCTTGATCACTGATTATTAAGAAGCATATTAATTTCCATGCTTTTATCTAGTTTCCAAAATTATTATCAATTTATTTCATTATAGTAAAAATATCTGATATTTGATATTATTTCAATTTTTTAAGAATGTTTTAAGACTGATTTTGTGGCCTAATACATGGTTTAGCCTTGAGAATTATCCATGTACTGAGGAGAGAAATGTATATTCTACAGCTTTTGGGTGAAACATTCTGTACATATCTATTAGCTTGGGTAGTACAGATTAAGTCACATGTTTCTTTATTGATTTTCTCTTTGGATGATTTGTTTAATACTGAAAGTGGGATGTTGAAGTCTGCAGCTGTCATTGTACTGTGGTATATCTCTCTCTTTAACAATATTTGCTTTATATAATTGGGTTCTTCATTTTTGGGTACATATATAATTAAAATTGTTATATCATCTTGGTGAATTGACCCGTTTATCATTGAATAAGATATTATTTGTCTTTTTATATAGCTTTTGTCATGAAATCCATTTTGTCTGGTATAAGTATAGGTACTTCTGCTTGTTTTTGATTTCCATTTTCATGAAAAGATCTTTTTTCATCCCTTTGTTTTCAGTCTATGTATGTGTTTATGATGAAATGTGTTTCTTTTAGATAATAGAACATTGAGCTTGGCTTCTCTTTTTATCAATTATACAAATATGTGTTGTATATTTTTGATAATTGGTTTCCATGAGGCTTGGAAATAATATAACCTGTTATTGATGACAACTTAACACAGATTACATAAACAAACAAACAAGCAAAGAGAAAACTCATAAAAACTCTAACTTTATTCTTCTGCATTTTAACTTTTTGTTGTTTCTATTTATATCTTATACTGCCTATGTCTCAAGCATTTGTTGTAGTTAGTATTTTTGATCAGCTCATCTTTCATTCTTTCTACTCTAGATATGAAAAAATTTACACACCACAGTTACACTGTTGTAATACTCTGTGTTTTTCTGTGTACTTACTATTACCAGTGACTTTTGTACCTTCAGGTGATTACTTCCTACTCATTAATATCCTTTTCTTTCAGATTGAATAACTCCCTTTAGCATCCCCTGTAGGACGACTCTGGTGTTAATGAAATCCCTCAGCTTTTGTTTGTCTGGGAACTTCTTTATTTTTCCTTCATATTAGGAGAACATTTTTACTGGATATACTATTTTGGATAAAAGTTTATTTTCTTCAGCATTTTAAATATGTCATGTCACTATCTCCTGGCCTTTAAGATTTTCACTGAGAAGGCTGCTGTCAGATATATTGGAGATCATTTTTATTTGTTTACTTTATATAGCTGCTTTATGATTGATCTTTCAGAGTATGATTATTAAATGCCTTGAGGCAACTTTATTTGGGTTAAATCTGCTAGGTGTTTTATAATATTCTTGTTTATTAATATTTATATCTTTTTCTAGGTTTGGAAAGGTCTCTGTTATTATCCCTTTGAATAAACTTTATACCTCAACATCTCCTTTTACTTCCCCCTTAAGTCCAATAACCTTTAGGTTTGCACTGTAGAGAATTTTCTAGGTCTCATAGGCATGCTTCATTCTTTTTCATTCTTTCTTTGTCTCATCTGACTGGATTTTCAAATAGCCTGTCTTCAAGCTCACTAATTTTTTCTTCTGTTTGATCATTTCTACTATTATGAGAATACTGAGGTATTCTTCAGTATATCTGTTACATTTTGAACTCCAGAATTTCTACTTGATTTTTTAAAATTATTTCAATCTCTTTGTTAAATTTATCTATTAGGATTCTGAATTTATTCTGGGTGTTCTCCTGAATTGTATTGAGCTCCCTCAAAAGAGCGATTTTGAGTTCTGTCTGAAACGTCACACATCTCTGTTTCTCCAGGATAGGTCCTTGGTGGCTTTCTTAGTTCATTTGATGAGATCACGGTTTCCTGGATGGTCTTTATGCATGTGGATTTTCATTGTGGTGTCTGGGCATTAAAGGGTTAGCTGTTTATTGTAGTCTTTACAGTATCAGTTTGTTTGTACCTGTCCTTCTTGGAAAGGCTTTCCAGGTATTCAAAGGAGCTTGAGTGTTTTGTTCTAAGCCTTTGGTCACTGCAATTATGAAGATTTTAGAGGGCATTCCTAGCCCAGTGACACTGTGGCTATTGCAAAGTTACAAAGGTACTGTCTTGTTCTTCCTGGGTAAGACCTGGGAGAATTTTGTGGATTATCAGGCATTGCCTCTTGTTCTTTTTCCATACTTCCCCCCAAATAAACAGAGTATCTCCCTCTGAGCTGAGCTGCTTGCATCACCACTGTGGCTACCACCATGTAAATTGTACTGGGTTAGATGTGAATCCAGCAGAGCACTGAGTCCACTCAAGGCGCAAAATGACCACTGTCTGGTCCCTTCCTATGTTCACTCAAGGCCCAAATGCTCTACAATCAGCAGGTCACAAATCGAGCCAGGATTATGTCCTTCCCTTTAGGAGAATGAGTTCCCCCTGGTCCTGGGAAGGTCTGTTCTTTCCATTCTTCCCTCTCCTTTTCTTAAGTGGAGTAGTCTCTCCCAGAGGCCACCACCACCCCATGCCCATGGCAAGTACTGCCCTGCTATTACCAATGATCATTTAATGGCCAAGCCTCTTTGATCAGTTTGCGGTGAATGCTGCCAATTCTGGTTCTCTCCCTTCAGGGAAGTAGACTCCTGCTGGCCCAGGGTACATTCAGAAGTGCTATCCAGGAACCAAGGCCTGGAACTGGGGACCCTGTGATCCCACTTTGTGCTCTATCTCTCTGTATCTGAGCCGTTATCTAAGCTGCAAGACCAAGTCCCTTTACTCTCTTTTCCTCAAGCAGAATGGGTCTCTTTTCATAGCCACCATAGCTGGGAATGTGCTGCATAACACTTGAGGCCAGTGCAGCTCGTAGCCTCACCCAAGGTTGGTGGCAAGTATTTTCTGACTACCACTGTTGATTATTCAGGGCCCAAGGGTCCTTTAGTCAGCAGGTGATGAATTCTGTGAGAACTAAGTCCTTGCCTTCATTGCAACAGGTTTCCTTCAGGCCAGCATGTATTTAGAAGTGTCATCTGGAAGCTAGGGCCTGGGATGGGGGCCTCAAGACTCTAACTGGTACCCTATTCTTCTTTAGCCGAGTTGGTATTCCAGTTGCGACACGGAAACCTCTTTACTTGCCTTTCTCCTTTCCTCAAGCAGAAGGAAAGAATCTCTCCTGGAGCTGAGAGCTTGGCTGCTTTGGGATGGGTTATGTATAATGAAACCACTCCCTTGGAGACCCCCTCTAGTATCTCACTAGGTTGTGTTCACCCCAAGTCCACAGGCTCTGAGACTAGCTCAGCACCAAGACTTGTCCAAGACTTGCAGTTTTTGTGCCGTAAACTGCCTTTCAAGTTCATTTAGGACCCCAAAGCACTTTAACCTGTAGTGGGTGACCTTGTAGAAACTCAGGTTCTGACTGCTGGAATGGACAAATTGGTTCTGAATAAGCCTGGTCTAAAAGCTCCCTTCGTAGGTACCAGCTGAGTTCTGCCCGTTTTTGCTTTCCACTATGATAGGGCAGCACTGAGTTTCAACGCAAAGCTTGAGAATCAGTGTTTTCTTCCCCCAAGGGCACAGATTCTCTCTTTACACCACTCAGCCGCTGCCAGGGGTTGAGGAAAGGGTCATGTAGGCAATTCAACAGTCTTTTCTACCCTCCTCAGTGCTTCCTTCCTAAAAATGATGTTAAAACCAGATACTCTAATTGCTCACCTGATTTGGGATTCTAATGAAGATGCTCTTTTGTCTGAATAGTTGTTTAGTTTGGCATTCCTGTGGAGGAGGAACATATGGTTTGGCTGTGTCCCCTCAAATCTCATCTTGAATTGTAGTTTCCATAATCCCCACATGTCATGGGAGGAAACCAGTGGGAAGTAATTAGATCATGGGGGTGGTTTCCCTCATGCTGCTCTCGTGATAGTGAGCGAGTTCTCATGAGATCTGATGGTTTTATAAAGGGCTTTTCCCCTTGTACACATTCTTCTCCCTGCCACCAAGTATAGAAGGACATGTTTGATTTCCCTTCTGCCATGATTGTAAGTTTCCTGAAGCCTCCCCAGCCATGCTGACCTATCAGTCAATTAAACCTCTTTCCTTTACAAATTACCCAGTCTGAGGTGTGTCTTCACAGCAGCATGAAAACAGACTAATACAGAGGGAAATGCTAAAAGACTTCTAATTGTCCAACTTGCTCCCCCAAGAGACTCAATATATATATTAATTTTAATGTAGCCAAAAGTATTAATCTTTCTTTTGTGGTTTTTAGTTGCCATCATAGTTTATTAAATAGTATATCAATTTTCTTCACCAACTCACGATTTTCAAATATTTCAGTCTATTGAGCATTGCAATAGGTTTAAAATTTCTTCATCATCTCAAAGCAAACCTAATAAGCACTAAAATATAAATGTTAATCTCCAGAATTAAACAGAATGCATTATTGTGTTTTATATGTTTTAAATAAACTATCAAAGAATTGGCATCTTGTTTGTACAAAAATATAACCAATTTACACCATAATTAAGAAAACAGTGTTCATATTGATTTGCAATGTTTAGTGTCTTGATATTTTAGTCCATTTTAAAAATGAATATTTTATTGTACTAAGAAATATGGAATAAGTTTATGACCATGAAATAATAAGATGATTTAAACATACCATATATAAAATATATTGAAAGCAATAGTTTGCAAGCCACAAATCAAAATAACATAATATTGTCCTTATTCTTGCTTGAAGGGCTTATATGTATATTTTTTAATATTTTTATATTGCCATATCATAATTCTTAATATATACTTCTACCTATTAAAGTAAATATTTTTGTTTATATAATGAATATCAGAATCCTGATAGGTATAAAGATATATTAATACAGGGAACCTAACCTGTGAAACTTTAAGCATCATGTGATAATTTCCAGCAATAGAGAAAAAACAAAAAAAGAAGAAATTATACAAAGTTATTTCCATTTATTTTAAATAATCATTTGATCTTCTCTCAATCACCTACTCACCTCCAGCATAGGCCATGTTTAATAATTATTTGTTAATTAAATTAAAGTGATTCATATAAGTAACATTAAAATGGAAATAATATGATACTAATTTAATAAATTTACTCTAATCAACAAAAACTATGCTTAAACAGTAATTATGTGGAATCAGTGGTGTTATTGCATCACTTTGAGTGATCATCTTAAAAATGTTCTCCTTTTTGATGTCCTGATTTAAAGAGCTCCCACATTGTGGCCTCTCTAAAGTCCCTCTACTCACACAAACAGAAAAACTATGACATTCTGTACACTTTTTTTTAAGCCTCGGTTCACTCACTGTTAGAAGTTATAGTGTTGATACATGATCTAGTTGTTGCATTTATTCTCATTATTCCGTTGTCTACTGATTCTATTATTACTCTCTTTTACTGAAGACCTCACTTTCCATTTCTTTGATTAGGGCTTCCATCTATGTATTCCACATAATAGTACTTACTATTTTTTATGTGCTAAGTACTAGCTCATTTTCTTGGGATCAAAAATGTCAAGATAAGACTTTAAGTTTTAGCTCTGTAAAATAAACAGCTTAGAAGTCATCACTCCCATTGAAACAATATGATAAAAAACACCCAGATCAATGTCTGGAGAGATGGGTTACAACAGGGAAACACAACCAACCTGGAGCAGAAGCTGCTAGAGCCATACACCGGTAAAAACACTTTTTTTTTTTTTTTTTGAGACAGAGTCTGGCTCTGTTGCCCAGGCTGGAGTACAGTGGTGCGATCTTGGCTCACTGCAACCTCCACCTCTTGAGTTCAAGCGATTCTCCTGCCACAGCCTCCTGAGTAGCTGGGATCACAGGCAATCGCCACCATGCCAAGCTATTTTTTTTTTTTGTATTTTTAGTACAGACAGGGTTCCCCCATGTTGGTCAGGCTGGTCTTGAACTCCTGACCTCAAGTGATTCACTCTCATAGGCCTCCCAAAGAGCTGACATTACAGGTATCAGCCACCACGCCAGGCCATACACTAGTGGAAAGACTTCAATGGTAATTTTGATGAATTGCTGGAAGCCATGTCTAAACTATCTTGGGAGTCATAAACTCTTGAGGGCATGCGGTCCTGTGGCTGGGGTGATTCTTACTTTTGTCGGTTTAAGATTCCGAAATCCACCAAGTTTTTATATTGAAGAGTTAAGAAAATGCACCTCCTGTCTTTGACAAGGGGAAAAGTAACCATCGTGAAATGGTTACTAGTGCATACTTAATAAAAGTCCTACTTTACAACAAAAAAGACTTTAATAGCCTTATTCCACATAGGCAGGGGCTCAGTTACCAAACACAAATACTCACTGGCCTTCCAATCTCATGTATATGGCAGAGAGAAAAAAGAATTAGAAGCATCTGTGAAAATGTCAGCCAAGGGTCATAGGCCCACTAAAAAGACTGAGAGTTAACTAAAAAATTATAGAACAATTCCCCCCACCCAACTCTTTACCACCGCATTAGCAGGGCTGTAGTATGATAACAGAATTATGGAGAACAAAAATGCCAGGAACAGGCTCTATTTAGAAAGAAGTTCTTACAAAAACACAAAGACAGAAAGGGAGGTCAAAATAAGGACAATAGAGGAATTTGAAGCCCCCTGAAACCTACAGCTACAGCAAACAACTAAAGTAGCCCAAATCCTTGCCAGATTAACATAAACTTCACACAAAAGGTCTATTTGCTCCAGTTTCTATTATGTGACATATCATACCTGGTTTTCAACAAAATAATTACAAATCATAATAAAAAGTAGAAAAAAAACCTGAAGATACAGCGCAAACATCAGGACCAGACTCAAATATGGTATAAATTTTGGAATCATCAGATGGGAAATTTTAAATAACCATGATGTTAAAGACTGTACTGGAAAAAGTAGACAACTTGAAAGAACAGATGTGTAATGAAGAGCGAGAGAAATTCTAAGAAAAATCAAAATAACAAAAATATCAAAAACACTTTAAAATAAATGAAGAATATTTCTTACTGGCTCATCAGTAAACTGAACACAGCTGAGGAAAAAAAAAATCAGTGCGCATGAAGATATATCAACAGAAACTTCCCCATACTTCCCCAAACTTAAATGCAAAGTGAAAAAAGAGTAAAAGAAAAATAAATAAACAAAGAGAATCTAAAGACTGTGGGACAAATAGAAAAGATGTAAATGTGTAATAAGAATAACAGTAGAATAAAAAGAATGGAGCAGATAAATATTTAAAGTAATAATGACACGTTATTTTCCAAAATTAATGACAGACACCCAACTATAGATCCACAAAGCTCAGTTAAACACCAAGAAGCATAAATACTAAAAATCTACAACTAGGCATACATATTCAAATTGCAGAAAATCAAAGAAAAAGAAAAATCTTGAAAGAACATAGAAAAACAAAAATATCGTATTTATAAAGAAGCAAGAAGAATTAAATTATATTTATCTTCAGAGACCATGCATGCAAGAAAGTTTGGAAACCATGCAGGCAAGTGAAATTTTAAAGGGTTGTAGGAAAAACAAAACCTAGAATTCTGTATCCCATGAAATCTTTTAAAAGTGAAGGACAACTACTTTCTCAGTCAAAAACTAAGGAAATTCAACATTAGCAGATTTAACCTACAAAAAATGTTAAAGAAAGTTCTTCAGGAATGAGGAAATGACATAGGTCAGAATATCAGACTTGCATTGAACAATAACAAAATAAAGCAAATGAAAAGCAACAGCTGAAATTAAAATAAAATATTGGTATTTTTATTATTAACTAATCTACTACATAGCTATTCAGATCAATAATAATAACAATGAAGTATTAGATTGTAGCATATGAGAGTAGATGAAGGAACAACACAACTTTATAAGGGAAGGGAAGGAAGAATAATGAATACTCAGTTATAATGTACCTGCACTGTCTATGAAGTGGTATCGTTCTATTTTAAAGTTGGCTTACTCTAGTGCATCCACTTAAAAGATTAAAAATAAAGAACTATAACTGATGTTCTAATAGAGGAGAAAATATAATATCATGTAAAGTATTCAATTAATAACAAATGAGGCCAAAAAATATGGAAAGAAAAAAGAACAAGTGCAAGGAAGAGAAAACAGTTACAAACATAGTAGACGTTAATCCAAATCTATCAAAAATTACTTTAAATGTGTATCCTCTAAATACAACAACTAAAAGAGATTGACAAAGCAAAGAAACAAGGACAATTAAGATGAAACAAGGACTTTACAAACAATAGAAGGACTTTACAAACAATACAATTCAGCAATCTCACTTATACGTAATTACAGAACTGATTTGACAACCAAAAAATTATTGTCTTTGGAGGCTGCTATTTCCAGCTATCTTCTATGATATTTGAGATGCTACAAGCTTCTAGACTTCTATCTTCTATAAATCTAGAAAATTATAACAATATAGCATTGTTGATGAGGGCATTGAGACCCCATCATCAAAGTTTTCTTCTAGATCTGCATGTAGCAATTTAAATAGCCTCAAGTTTATTAAGATTAGTAGTATAAGAAAATAAAAACTATGTAAGTAGCAAAAATTAAAGCTGTGTTTATCCCAGCTGTTAAGAGATACCTTGTCATACATTTTTACTACATGCACATTCTACTTTTGCTCCCAATAGAAGACAAGACTTTAATGGAGATATTAAGTAGCTGAGGTGATAACTATATAAAATATTTTTATTTTTAAAAAGATTAAAACTATATTCCATTACACAAAAAATTCTAACCTAAAAATACTAAATTGAGATATGACCCTAATTATAGAGTTTTCTTACTGCCCTTGTTAATATTACATTATGTAAGTACTGATGGGCATAACTCAAACTTACGATGTAAAAATGAAGTAGTCTTATTGATCATGATAATTATTAATAAAGGCAGTGTGATTTATAAGAATTTAATAAGATATGTTTAGCCCAAGTTTATATCTTCTAGTCTATTGAGATATTTGATATAAAAATGTTTTAAATTTCTATGAGTGTTATTTGAAGTTTTTATGTTATAGTCAATGGCATCTTCAATTTTGTTAATACACTGGTAAGGATGCCATCTAAGATGTTGCAACATTGTCACGCCAAAATTATACACTTCCATAGTTATCATAGTGCACTGAATAAACATCGTGTGTTTTTGTGTATAGAAAAAAAGCAGAAAATAATTATAAAAATAGGCGTTTAAGTTTTGTAGTATAAAAATTAGGTAAAAAGCAAAAAGTGAAAACTTTTGAAAGCAAATTATGGTTTAAAGGCTGTAATAGAAGATATGAAAATCAAGAATACACACAGAACAACACATGTCAGGTCATCACATACACTTGAAAGCAGGTTACTTCTCTTTTTTTACTTTGAATCATCTGTTCTTTACTTTTCCTTTCCAAAAGAATTCCATTCTGAACTAATATGATATTTTCAATAAATAGGAAGCTGTATGGTAAAAAAAGAAAAGAAAAGAAAGAAAGGAAGAAAGAAGAGAAAAAAACAGGCGTTTTAGAGAAAAAAGTTAACTCCTAATATTTTTGGTCAATTAATTTAATTCATCCACCAATTCATTCCTTTACTAATGATTTATCTCATTATTTAACAAAAAAAGCATATTTGAAACATTACTGTGTAACTGGGCCCTACACACAAATAGAATAAAACATAATTTTGTCCTTGTGCTTAGAGACTAAGAGTCACTGTATAACTTGTTTCTTATTTGAAAATAACAGAAACTGATTCTAATTAACTTAGCAGCAATGAATTTCATTTGAAACATATTCTATAGTTCAAATAACAGTTTGAGAAATGTGCAGAAACAAAAGATGTCCAGATAGGCTGATCTGCAAACAAATCTAAACAAGAGTCAAGTTGGGATGCCATTATCATTGCTGCTGATGACTGAGCTTCACCTCCAATGGCATGACCTCCACTGGACCTTGACGCTGCCACCGCTATTGCTGGTCCTGCTGGCATAGCTTCTGCTGAGCCCTGGATGTTTCTCACAGTGAAATGAGCATTAAAGAGTTCCAAATTCTTTTCATCAGTCTTTCCAAATTGAATTTGGTGAGATTGGATCGTGAATGACTCTACATTCTCTTTTACCCCACATCGAATCTTCAGGAAATCTTCTTGCCTTTCATTTCAGAATATATGCAGAATTTTGCTACATTTCACTGTCTCCATTGTACTCCCAGATTGATATACCATAATCTCCAGCATGGATTAGAATAGGCCTCCTAAACTGATCTCCCTGTGTTTACACTTAATGCACTGCTCTCTACCCTCAATGGCACATCAAGAGTGATAATTTGAAATAAGTAAAATCATGTCACTCTTCTGCTCAAAACTCTCCAGTATCTTGCTATTTCACTCAGAAGACAACCAAAATCCTTGGCAAAGCTCAATGAATTGGTTGATACTAGAACCTAAGTAATCTGGCCTCCTGTTAATTCCACTGTCCTCCAATTCTACTGGCCCCTTTGCTGTCTCTGAATAAAGGCAGATATATTCCCACTTTACAGGTTTCTCCCTTGCTGTTCCCTCTGCCAAAGGGCTCTTTCTCAATATCCACATGGTGAACCTGTTATTTCTCAACTCTGTACTGACTACCCCATTTCAAAATACAATCTCTTTTTTTCCCTGTCATTTTCAATCCACTAACTCTCTGTATTTTATTCCATGGAACAAATCAACAAACAATTTATCATTTTATCTACATTTATCTATTGTTATTTGCCTCCTCTCCTTCCCATAAAGAAAACCTACACCAGGATAGAGATTTTTGTCTATCCCATCATGTTTGTCTGTGTGTGTGTTTTTGTCTGTCTCATCAATTATGTCTGTGTGTGTGTGTGTGTGTGTGTGTGTGTGTGATAAAATAGTGTATGTCACAGCATTGGTGCAAAAGAAATATACATTTTTTAAACAGAAAGCTTGATTACTTTGTGGAAAAGAGCAGAGAGACACACAAAAACAGGAAGCAGAGAAGACATTTGAGAGCTAATAAGGCATTCCAAATAAGGGATGATGATGGTTAAAACTTTAGTAGAGGGGTAGGATGTAGTCAGATTTACAGTATATAGTATATTTTAAAAGGCAACTCAATAGCACTAGATTATGATTTGCTTTTGGAGTTTAGGGAAACAAAGGGATAAAGGATAGTACATAACTTTTTTGGCAAGAGCTTGAACATTCTGTTTTGAAATTTAAATTTGTGGCTGGGCGCGGTGGCTCACGCCTGTAATCCCAGCACTTTGGGAGGCTGAAGCTGGCGGATCAAGAGGTCAGGAGATCGAGACCATCCTGGCAACACGGTGAAACCCTGTCTCCACTAAAAATTCAAAAAATTAGCTGGGTGTGGTGGTGGGCGCCTGTAGTCCCAGCTACTCAGGAGGCTGAGGCAGGAGAATGGCTTGAACTTGGGATGCGGAGCTTGCAATGAGCTGAGATTGTGCCACTGCACTCCAGCCTGGGCGACAGAGTGAGACTCCGTCTCAAAAAAAAAAAAAGAAATTTAAATTTGCCATGCTGTTACACATTAAAATCACCATATTAAGTGTGTGCAGTAAATTCTCACTTAACATTATCATAGAGTCTTTCAAACTTCTACTTTAAGTGGAATGACATACAGCAGGTCCTTTAATAATGTCATTTTGATTAATGTCCTTTTGTTACAACGTTCATAAGAAAAAAAAAAAAAACTGGCTTTTTTATACATTGTTTCACTTAAAGTCCAAGTTGGCAAATACAGGCTTAGACCTGAGCAGATACCTAAGTTGAAATGTATGAATAGATATCTTATACTTTCATTACGACTGATTTACTATTTTTAATAAAATCTGTGCTTTGATTGAAAACTGCAGCTGTGTGGGACATTACTCACATTAAGTTTCTTGAAAAAAATGAAAAAAATAAGCTGGCTTAAAGATAGCATTATGCAATATACTAGCATCATATGTAAATACACTTGTTGATGAGTTAGATACAGTGGGTTCTGAAGAAGAGTGAAGGAAAAATACTCTAATGAGCTTACTTCAAGCAGTTGTCTTAATGTCGAGCAGCCATGATTTGAGAAACGGCCTGAAGTGAGAATATGTATCTATAATTATTAGCAACTAATGATTGTGCTGCATGGTTAAAGACTTGGAATCACAAAAATGTAGGACAGTGTGTGTGTGATGGATTCTCAGAACGTGCTTGGAGCATGAAAGCACCTGTCTCTCACAGATTTCCCAATCCTGTGGTTTTTGGCCTAAAAACCAAGAAGATGAAGTTACCCTCAGGTAAGAAAGGAAGAGATGGCCACTAGGACAGGAAAAAGCAGAGATAACTTTCCTGTGGGACTACAGCACATGCATTCTGCAAGTCTTCCTGCTTGCCAACCGCTCCCAGATTCCCTTCCTGACAGCCCTACAGGAGCATGTTCACAGTGCAGACTCTACTGCTCAGCCTGGGTCCTTCACTCCACCTGGTTACATTCCTGGCAGGCTGGGAGCACTTCAGATCCTTCAGTCCACGTTGAACCCAACTCCAGGTGTTTGGAGGATACAGCACAAGTCTATCTTAGTGCCCCAGGGTGGCAGCAAGTAGCTCAGGAGTGCTGAGCTGAGATCTGTGGCTAGCACTCTAGTGGCAGAGAAGCCCAAACTCTCAGGGCACTTAGAGGTCAGATGTGTGACCTTGTGGTCTTGAGCAAGATGGGGGATAATTCCTTCCACAGGTCCAGCCTAGAAATGGTGTGGCATGTCTCTGTGATGTGGCCTTTTCCCAGGGAGCCCCACAGCCTAGAACACCTAACAAAAGAAACATGGGCCCGATGCCAGTGATTAGAGATAGGCCAGCAGCAGACCTACTGAAGGAGTCACCTCCTTCCCTTTGCACTGCAGAGCATGGCTGCAAACAGGAGGAAATACATAGGAGCCACACAACTGAGTAAGAACCTATTTACCACCCATTACTTTTAAGCGGCAGCTACTGGATGGCAGCCCAAACTTCAACACCAAAAATATTTAGCAAATACACACCCCTGTGAAACCAAGGGCATGAATTCAGCCACAAAGAAAGACTGTGTGTAGCATCTTGGCCCTCTGAAAACATCCAAAAATGAAATGAACTATCTATAACTTAACTTTTACCACAGATTAAGGAACACTAACACCTACAGATGAGAATAAGTCAGTGAAATAACTCTGACAATTTTAAAAGATGGAGCATCCCTTTACCTCCAAATGAGTCCTCTAGCCCCCCAGCAATGATTAGTCTGAAATGACAGACTTAGAATCCAGAATCTTGATGGCAAGGAAGCTCATTGAGATTCAGGAGAAAGTTGAAACTAATTCAAGGAATCCAGTAAAATGACCCAATAGCTGAAAGAAGGACCAATCATTTTAAGAAAGAACTAAACAAATTCTAGAGCTGAAAAAATTACTACATGAATTTCATAATACAATACAAGCCCCACAATACAATCTATGTTTACAACAGAATACACCAAGCTGAGGAAAGGATCTCAGAGCCTGAACACCAGTTCTTTCAACTAACTTGTCAGAAAAAAATAAAGAAAAGAGAATTTTTTAAAATGAACAATACCTCCAAGAAATATGAGGCCACGTAAAGATACAGATCTGAGACTCATGGGCATTCCTGAGAGAGAAGGAGAGAGAATAAGCTACTTGGAAAATATATTTCAGGATACAGTCGGTGAACAATTCCCTAATCTCACTACAGAGGTTGATGGGCAAATTCACGAAATACAGAGAACCCTGGCTAGATACTACACAAAATTATGATCCCCTAGGCACATGATCACCAGATTCACCAAGGTCAACACAAAAGAAAAAATCGTAAAAGCAGCTAGAGAGAAGGGTCAAGTCAGATGCAAAGGAAACCTCATTAGACTAGCAGCAGACCTCTAAGAAGCGATCGGAGCCTTATGTTCAGCATGTTTAAAGAAAAGAAATTCCAACTGAGAATTTACCATCCTGACAAACTAAGCTTCATAAGTGAAGGAGAAATAAAATCCTTCTCACACAAGCAAACACTTAAGAAGTTCACTTCAAGGAGACCAGTCTTGCAAGAGGTACTTAAGGGAGTACTAAATATGAAGTCAAAAGAATGACACTTGTTACCACAAAAACACACTTAAACACATAGCCCACAAGTATTATAAAGCAACTACATAATCAAGTCTACGTAACAACCAGCTAACAATATGATGACAGGATCCAAATATCACATATCAATACTAACCCTGAATGTAAATGGGCTAAATGCCCACACTTAAAATACATAGAGTGTCAAGCTGAATAAAAAGACAAGACCTAACCATCTGCTATCTACACGAGATCCATCTCACAAATAACAATACCCACAGGCTCAAAGTAAAGGGTTGAGAGAGGTCTATCATGCAAACAAAAAATATAAAGGAAATAGAATTTCTTTTCTTACATCAGATAAAACAGACTTTAAAATGATAAAAATAAGAAGGACAAAGAACGGCATTATACAATGATAAAGAATATAATAGAACAAGAAGACTTAATGATTCTAAATACGTATGTACCTCATATTGCGGCACGAGATTCACAAAACAAGTTCTTCTTAACCTGTGAAAACACTTAGGCAACCACACAATAATAGTTGGAGACTTCTACACCCCATTGAAAGCATTAGGCAGATTATCAAGCCAGAAAACTGTCAAAGAAACTGTGTAATTAAACTCAACACTTGAACAATTAGACCTAGTAGATATCTACAAAACATGTATTCCACAACTACAGAGTATGGATGCATCTTATTGGCACATTGAATGTAATCTAAGATTTACCACATGCTTGGTCATAAAGCAAGTATCAATAAATTTGAAAAATTGAAATCATACCAACCATACTCTTGAACCACAATGAAATAAAAATAGGAATCAATATCAAGAAGATCTCTCAAAACTGCATAAATACATGAAAATTAAACAACTTGCTCTGAATAACTCCTGGATAAAGATAGAAATTAAGTCTGAAATCAAAAAATTATTTGAAATTAATGAAAATAGGGACACAACTCACCAAAATTTTAGGAATGCAGCTAAAGCAGTGTTAAGGGAAAGTTTATAGCACTAAAATGTCTTTATCTATAAGTTAGAAAGATCTTAAATTAACAATCTAACTTTTCACCTAAAGTAATTAGGGAAAATGAATAAACCAACATTATAACTAGCAGAGGAAAAGAACTAAAATTTAAAAAGAGCTGAATAAAATTGAAACGCAAAAATCTATACAAAGGATCAATTAAACCGAGAGATGGTTGTTCAAAAAATAAACAAGATTGATATTCTGCTAGCAAGGTTAACAACAAAAAGAGAAAACCCAGATAAGTATAATTAGAAATGACAAAGATGAGGGCTTGGTGCGGTGGCTCACTCCTGTAATACTAGCACTTTGGGAGGCTGAGGCGGGTGGATTATCTGAGCTCAGGAGTTTGTGACCAGCCTAGGCAACACAGTCAAACCCCATCTCTACTAAAATACAAAAAATTAGCCAGGTGTGGTGGTGTGTGCCTGTAGTCTCAGCTACTCAGGAGGCTGAGGCAGGAGAATGGTGAGAACCCGGGAAGCAGAGCTTGCAGTGAGCCGAGATTGCGCCACTGCACTCCAGCCTGGGCGACAGAGCAAGACTCCGTCTCAAAAAATAAATAAATAAATAAATAAATAAATAAATAAATAAGACAAAGACGACACCTTATAACTGATCCCATATAAATACACAAAAATCCTCACAGAAGGCTATGAACAACTTTATACACACAAATTAGAAAATCTAGAGGAAATGGACCAGGTGTGATTGCTCATGCCTCTTATCCCAACACTTCGGGAGGCTGAGGCAAGCAAATCAACTGAGCTCAGCAGTTCAAGACCAGTCTGGGAAACATGGCAAAACCCTGTCTCTACGAAAAGTGCAAAACTTGGCTGGATGCAGTGGCTTGTGCCTGTAGCCCCAGCTACTCAGGAGGCTTAGGCAGGAGAACTGCTTGAGCCCAGGAGGGGAGGTTTCAGTGGGCCAAAATCAAGCCATTGCACTGCAGCCTGGGTGACAGAGTGAGAGACTTTGTCAAAAGAAGGGAAGGGAAGGGAAGGGAATAGAGAAAATTGATAAATTCCTGGAAACATGCAATCTCCATGATTGAATCATGAAGACATTGAAACCCCAAATAGACCAATACCAGGCTTTGAAATTGAATCAGTAATAACAAAACCCATCAAACAAACAAACAAAAATCCTTGAACCAGATGGATTCCCAGCCAAATTCTACAAGACATACAAAGAAGAACTGGAATGAATCCTACTGAAACCGTTCTTAAAAAACTGTTGAAGAGAGCCTCCTCCTTAACTCATTCTACAAATCCAACATCATCCTGATACTAAAATCTAGCAGAGACAGACATACACACATGCACACATACACACAAACTTCAGGCTAATATTCCTCATGAACATAAATGTAAAAGTCCCCAACAAAATACTATCAAACCAAATCCAGCAGCACATCAAAAAGTTAATACATCACGATCAAGTAGCCTTTACTCCCTGGATGCAAGGCTGGTTCAACATATGAAAATCAATAAATGTGATTCATTAGATAAAATTAAAGCAGAAACCATATGATTATCTCAATAGACAAAGAAAAGGCTTTTGATTAAATTCAACACCCCTTCATGATAAATACCATCAACAGACTGTCAAAGGATTGCATCTCAAATTAATAAGAGCTGTCTATGACAAACCCACAGCCAACATCGTACTAAACAGGCAAAAACCGGGACCATTCCCCTTGAGAACTGGAACAACACAAGGATGCCCACTCTCACCACTCCTATTCAACATAATACCAGGAATCCCAGCCAGATAATCAGGCAAGATAAAGAAATAAAATACATCTAAATAGGAAAAGAACACAAACTATCCCTCTTCACTGGCAATATAATTATATACCTAGAAAACCCTAAAGACTCTGCCAAAAGGCTCCTAGAATTGACAAATGACTTCAGTAAAGTTTTAGGAAACAAAATCAATATATAAAATCAGTAGCATCTCTATATACCAATAACATCTACGATGAGTCAAATCAAGACCATAATCTCATGTACAACAGTCACAAAGAAAATTAAATATTAATACTTAGGAATACAGTTAACCAAGGGGGCCAAAGGTCTCTACAAAAAGAACTACAAAAAAACTGTTGAAAAAAATCAGATATGACACAAACAAATGGAAAAACATTTCATGTTTGTGGACAGGAAAAATCAATATCATTGAAATGGCCATACTATCCAAAGAAATTTACAGATTCAATGCTATTCCTATCAAACTACCAATGTCATTTTTCACAAAATTAGGAAAAACACTCTTCCAAAATTCATATGGAACCAAAAAAGAGCCTGAAATAACCAAAGCAATCCTAAGTAAAAAGAACAAAACTGCAGGCATTACACTACCTGCCTTCAAACTACAATATAGGGCTACAGTAACCAAATCAGCATGGTACTGGTGTAAAAACAGAAACATAGACCAGTGGAGCAGAATAGAGAGCCCAGAAATAAACCTGCACACCTACAACAATCTGATCTTTGACAAAATCAATAAAAACAAGCAATGGGGAAAGAACTCTTAATTTAATAAATGGTGCTAGGATAAGTGGCTAGCCATAGGCAGAAAAATGAAACAGGATTTCAATTTATTTTTATTTATTTTATTTTTTTTGAGAAGGAGTCCCTCTCGGTCGCCTAGCAAGCTGGAGTGCAGTGCTGCGATTTCGGCTCACTGCGACCTCTTTCCACCTCCCGGGTTCAAGCAATTTTCCTGCCTCAGCTGCCCTAGTAGCTGGGATGACAGGCACACGCCACCATGCCCATCTAATTTTTGTATTTTTAGTAGATACGGGGTTTCACCATGTTGGCCAGTCTTGTCTCAAACTCCTGACCTCAAGTGATCCACCCACCTCGGTCTCCCAAAGTGCTGGGATTTCAGGCATGAACCACCGTGGCCGGTCTGAAATTGGACTCTTACCTTTCACCATATAAAAAATAACTCAAGATGGATTAAAGATAAAAGGGTGGGACATAATTAAACTAAAGAACTTCTGCACAGCCAAAGAAGCTATCAACCTACAGAATGGGATAAAATATTGGCAAACTCTGCATCTGGCAAATGTCTAAAATCCAGAATCTATAAATAATTTAAACAAATAAGCAAAAGTAAAATAACCCCATTCAGAAATGAGCAAAGGACATGAACAGATACTTCCCAAAAGAAGACATGTAAGCGGCCAACAAACATAAAAAAAATCACTCAGTATTATTAATCATCAGAGAAATACAAATCAAAACCACGATGATATACCGTCACACATCAGTGAGACAGCTATTGTTAAAAAGTCAAAAAAATAACGATGTTGGCGAGGCTGTGGAGAAAAGAGAATGGTTATACACTGTTGGTGGGAATGTAAATTATTTCAGACACTTTGGAAAGCAGTTTGGAGACTTCTCAAAGAACTTAAAACAGAGCTACCATTATTCCCAGGAATCCCATTACTAGGAATATACCCAAAGAAAAATAGATCCTTCTACCAAAAAGACACATGCACTCATATGTTCATTGCTGTGCTATTCACAATAGCAAACATGTGGAATCAAACTAGGTTCCCAACAATGGTGGATTGAATAAAGAAAATGTGATGTATATATAACACAGAATGCTACGCAACCATAAAAAAAAAATGAAATCATGTCCCTTGCCACAACATGGATGTAGCTGGAGGCCATAATCATAAGCATATTAACGCAAGAACGGAAAACCATATATCACATGATCTCACTTATAAGTGGGAGCTAAGCATTGAGCACACACGGACATAAACATGGGAATGATAGACATTGTGGACTAATAG
This sequence comes from Homo sapiens, assembly GCF_000001405.40. Lineage (NCBI taxonomy): Eukaryota > Metazoa > Chordata > Mammalia > Primates > Hominidae > Homo > Homo sapiens. Next base: position 162,812,586 of record NC_000003.12, on the reverse strand, counting down.
AGGGGAGGGGAAGAAAGGGAGTGGGGTGTGGGTGGAAGAACTACCTATTGGGAACTGTGCTTACTACCTGGGTGATAGGATCTGCATGCCAAACATCAGCATCATGCAATAGACGTGTGTAAGAAACCTGCACATGTACCCCCTGCATCTAAAATAAAAGTTGAAAAAAAAAAAGAAAAACAAAAACAGAAAGAAAGAAGAGTGAGTGAAACAGATTTTAGTGGACAATGGTGGGGGTCTAGACATCAATTTTGAACATGTGAAGTCTAAATGATCTAGTGAATGTCCAAGTAGAGATGTTGACTAGTTTGGGAGAGAGACATGGAGAGTCTGCCACTGGAAAAAGGTGATTTTCATATCTACAAGATTAAATGGGGTTACCAATTTTGTGACTACGACTAAGAAAAGACCAAGAACTGTCTTCTGAACATTTTATTAATGAAGATTTCGTAAAGACTACTGCAAATCCAGCTTTTCAGAGACACTTTCCTAAGTATTCTATCAGAGATGAACTGCCCAGATCAAAACCTAATGTTTTTTATTAGTTTTCTATAATACTTACTAATATCTATAATTACTAATTACTAATTCATTTACTTTTCTAATTGTCCTGTATCAAACAAAAGTTTAGTTTTATGAGAGAATGCTCTTTGTCTTGTTTGTCACAATCATGTATCAAGAATCAAAACATAAATAATTGTAATTCCATGCACAAACACAAACTGTACTCAAGAATCAAAAAATTAGAAAATATTACTTAAGAATTTAATGAATATACTGTTTATAGTTATAACACACATATTTACAAAATAAACCCTCTAAAATGTATGTAAGAATTTTATTAAAATTTATTAAAAAGGAAGTTTCAATATTCAAAATATTTTAGTAATTTCCAAATAAATCTACACATCCATTAAATTCCCAAGCAAATTTCCAACAGATTTTTTTGTTGTTGTTTATGAAATACGATGACCTCATTCTACAATGTACTTGGTAAGGTATCTGCAGTCACCCCTGAAAAAGAGCATATTATGGGGTTTTGCCTTACTAGGTATCAAAATATATTTTTAAAAATATCAATACCATACAGTAAAATAATATAGTATAATCAGATATATTACTGCTACAAAACAGAGAGCCAAGTCCTAAATCCACTCACTTACGGAACTCGATTAATGACAGGGCACACATTGCACAATGATGTGGAAAGATGACTATTTGATAAATTAGACTAGAAGAAAAAGTTATACATATGGAATAAAGATAAATTGTATTTCTACAGTGTAATCTATGCAAAAATTAATTCCAAGTATATAAAATAATCAAATTTGAATACACAATTTTAATATTTTAAATGAATGCAATTTTACCGTCTCAGAGGAAGAAAGATATCTCAATAAGATGCAAAATATATAAACCATATATGATAAGGTGGAAAACCTAGACCATATTATAATTAGTAATCCTAGACCATATTATAGTTATGAATTTCTTTTTATTTTGTGTGCATGTGTATATATACATAAGTCACCAAGATGTTCTTCAGTCAGTGAATGGATAAATAAACTGTGGTACATCCAAACAATGGAATATTATTCAGCTCTAAAAGAGATGAGTCATCAATTCATGAAAAAAACATGGAGGAAACTAAAGTGTATATTATTAAATAAAAGAAGGCAGCAGGAAAAGCCTACATACTATAGAATTCCAACTATATGACATTACATAAAAAGGCAAAACTTTGGAGACAATAGAGATTGGAGGTTGCTAGATGTTAGGGGAAAGAAGGGATCAACAGGTGAAGCACATAGCATTTTTTAGGGCAGTAAAACTATTGCGCATGATACTGAAATGCTAGATACATGTCATTATACATTTGTCTTAACTGATAGAATGTACAACAGTTAGAGTGGACTCTTGAGTAAACAATGCTGTTTGCATGATAATGATGTGCTAATGCAGGTCTATTGATCGTAACAAATGTACCATTCTGGTATGAGATGTTGATAGTGGGGTGGCTGTGGAAGGTTAGGGATAACAAGTATAAAGGAATTCTGTACTTTCCGCTTAATTTTGCCGTGAATCTAAGCTGCTCTAAAAATAAAGTCTATTTAAATATCTAAATTAGAGAAAATAGCAAAAATATAACTGAAGTTAATTAATATCTAGCACATAAAATGAATTTCTAAATGTAAAATTAAAAAGACACACAACCCAATCAAAAACTTAGGACATTTAAAAAATTCAAGAGAGAAAATATAAGTTGATTTTAAAATATGGTGTATCCACAAAGGGAAATGTGAATCAAAACTGTATTTTCCCAAATGACTTGACAAGTTATTCAGACACAGTGTTAATAATAATCACAATTAACTGGAAAATATGTGGAGTAATAGGACCTAGTTTATACTTCTGGTGATATTCTAAAATGATGTAGTTGCTTGACCTAACAATGTGACAATGTCTAAAGTGTTACCAACAGCCTGTGATTAAAATTCCTTAAAATGCCTAGATGTTTTGCTCTTCCTAGTCAGTTACCTTGAAGAATGTCCCTCAGTATCATTGAGAAAAGCCTAGGCGGAAGAACTTAAGTCTATAGTTCAGAAATTATAGGAAAGTCTTACAGTTATCTGTTTTTTTTTTTTTTTTTTTTTTTTTACAGGGTCTTGCTCTGTCACCTGCATTGGAGTGCAGTGGCTTGATCTAAGCTCACTGCAACCTCAACCTCCTGGGCTCAGGCAATCCTCCTATGTCAGCCTCCCAAGTAGCTGAGACTACAGGCGTGCACCAACACGCCCAGCTAGATTTTGCATTTTTTATAGAGAGGAAGTTATACTATGTTGCTAAGTCTGTTCTTAAATTCTTGGGCCCAAGCAATCTACTCTGTCTGGACTTCAAAAATGCTGGGACTACAGTTGTGAGCCACTGTGTCTATCCCATTTAATCATTTTATTCAATGATTTCTCTCTGAATTCACAGATTTGATGGGAACTGAGTTAGGTGGTATGACTAAAAATTTGTTTATATGTACATATATATATATATTTTTTTCTCAGTTGCACACACTGAAATAATTTTTAATTAAAATAAAGATGACCTTTTGGAAGGCTGCCTGCTATTTTACTCCTTAGGGTCAAGAAAAATTCGACCCTACAAAGATCCTTAAGGCAAACCATTTTGATGACTTTACCAGCTCTTCAGTCTGTTGTGGCAACATTGTCTACCTTGCATCTGGAATTACTGTGCCAGTATTTGATCTCCACCTTCCTGGGGCCCTCTCATTCTCTTGAATGCAGTTGAGTTGAATCCATTTTACCAATAGAACCTGTATCAGTATCTATGATCTATAGAGAATTACCACCACAAAGCATTTTTCAAAGGTGATGACATCCTCGACTGTCCCCAAAGCATATCCTGGCCCTTGGTGTAGAGTGTCCTCTGGGCTCTCATAGGAGATTTAGGTAGTGGGTGGGCCATGTTAAATTCACTCTAGCATTTTTTTTCTCTGTCAAAATTGTTTGGATTTATTTCTCAACTTACTGTCCTGGAATTGATAGCATTTTCATTTAATTTGCCATGGGATATCAGTGCAATCTCACCAATAATGTGAACCCCCACAGCTGTTTATGCTACTACAGTGAATCCAGAAGCTCCAAAAGATAGACCTGTATTGATTAAGTCAGCTAAATCTGTCATTGCATTCTCAATATCCTCCCTTTTTATAGCCTCCAGATGTTCATTAATATGAATTACTAATGTAAGTTCCTAATATAAAGTGCTGCAGGTCTTTTTGTATCATCACTCTTTTCAAAGTTGTCTTTAATTGAAAATCCTCAGAGAATTTTAGGCTGTTACCTAATTCAATGTTTTACAATCTTCGTTAAATTTCAGAATCAGCTAGGGAGATTTAAAGATTTCTGATGTGCAGGCTATTCTCTAAACTAATTAAATGATTATCTCTGGAGTGAGGCCCTGGCATTAGTAACTTTTAAAGCTTCCAATCCGCAGACAAGCTTGAGAAATGCTTTTTAGACTAATGATAGTGATAAACGGAGAGTGTGGTAGGCTAAATGGTGGTCCCCAAAATACATATCCAGTGCTAATCTCCAGAATATGTGACTATCACCTTATATGGTAAAAAGAATGAATATTGCCTTACATGGCAAAAGATCTGGTGAAGAATCTTGACAGAAAGAGCTTTCCCTGGATTATTGGGGTGGCTCCTAACTAAATGTAATCACATGTATCCTTATAGAGGAGAGGTGGAGGAAGTTTAGAGACAAAGAGAGGATAGACAAGAGAAGCCATGTGTAGATGGAGACAGAGATTAAGGTGATGTGGCTAAAAGCCAAGGAATGCCAAGGATTGCTAGTAGACGTCAAGCATGGCAAAGGTGCTAAAAGCACACATTCAACTATGCAACAGTGGATGCTTTGTGACACAGAAAATAATCTTCAGCAATTTCAGAAGCTCAATTAGAGAGTTTGCATATCACTGTTGCTGCAATTAGTAAGAAACACTCTTGAATTAGCTTCTTGCTAAATGAAGGGCACAAATAAATCTCTCCGGGTATCAGAGTTTATGAAGCTTTAGCACTTCGTGTATTGTAAAGTAATTTAATTTAAATGACAGATCATGAAATGATGCTCAGCATAGCTATCTAACTTGCTCAATGTAATGGAAATGTCAGTGGCTCAAATAATATTCAAGCCAGATCACTTAGCTACTTGATTTGTTCTCTGATCCACAAGGTTGCTCTGTAGCAATGGGAACTCTGAGGTTTCAATGTACGAGATATGGTGAGCCAAGGCCACCTTCCTGGACATGCAACCTGTGCAGTTGCAGAGCTCCACTCTTAGAAGAGCCCTATGATTGGTTTAAAGTTCTGTTTGGTTTAATGCATCTGAAATTCTTAATTTTTGAAAAGAGGTCTTCACAGTTTCATTTTGCTATGGAACACACAAATTATATAGCCAATCTTACTCTTAGCCTTCAGAGTTCTTCTAAGTAGTTTAATTATATTCTCAAGTGTTTTTCACTTACTAACGTGCTTATATGTGTGTGGCATATAGAAATAACTAAAAATCTATTTATTAAAGATTCTAAAATGCATACTTTAATATCACTTTATAACATCACTAATTTCTGGATGCACCTCCAAAAACATGACATCTTACACTGTAAGGTAGAGATCCCGATTTAGTTGCTATTACCTATACTTGTGCAAATATAATCATTGTCTTTTATATTCTTATCATTAAAATGATTTACCTACACTGTTGAAACAACATGTGTTGTATTTAATTGCCACTCAAAATGTCTTCAAAAAGATTAGGTTGAGCTTTTTAAAGCTCAATGAATTATCACCAGATAGCCTGTTATAAAGCAAACCTTAGTTTATTCACCATCACTTCAGTAATGGAATACACCACCTTGACAAGGTCTTTGGACTGTCACAGAAGGGGAGTCAGAAGTGGGATTATTTAGGGTTCTGAGGAGTTTGAGCTCAAGTAGTTTAAGATGGGTCCTTTATGGCAAGAAACTGATGGGATGGGAATTTGGCAAAGTTTGTAAGCCTTTTTTCATTCACACGTGTCTCAAGAACTTTCCCAAAGCAAGGTACAAAGTCACCTACGAATTTACAGTCTCATCTTTCCTGAAACAAACAAGAAAATCTTCAGACACATGTTGTCTCAATTTGCTTTTCATCAATATGTTTGTAAAAATAAAGTTCACCACTTGCATAGAAAATGTATATTTTATTCTAATGGGGATATTACTACAATTCCATAATCCATTACATAGCAAAATCCGGGTGACTTATGCTCCGATACTTGCTACTTATGTATTGGGATAATCTGGGATAGGCAGAGCATATAGAATCTTAGCATTCCACCCCTCCACTCCCAATCCTACCTAATATATAATAATCTGCATTTTATCTAGATCCTTATGAGTTATATGTACATTATGAGAAGCACTGCTTTAAGGTACTACAGAAATAAAACATCCTACAAATAAAAGTTGTGTTAACTTTGTCACTAAATTGGATGTAACAGAGTACCTGTTCAGGCATCAGATAATACAAATGGAGGCAGGAGAATTTGCCACATCCTTTAGAAGAGAGGAAGTAATGTTAATGAATCAAGAACTTGGTGTGATAGGTTAATGTGACAGGTAGGACTATGGTTAAATTGTTGACTACCAGTTTCTCAGAAAATTTGAAAATTTGAACAGAACTGCTTAACTTCCATGAAATTCAAATTAGCAAATGGATAAGAGTTTAATCAATCTGGAAGAACTAGCAATAAAACTTCTGTGTCAGAAGCTTTGACAAACATCCCAGAAGTTATAATGTTAAAACTTTTAAGGAAAAAAAAAATGTTGCAGCATAATCAACAGTCTCGGGGGTACAAGGGAAAACCAATATATCATGGACTCCAAGTTGAAAGGTGATCTGAAAATTCAGGTATTAAGTTTAAAGACATTTACTCATGCCTCAACTAATTTACTCTTTGCAGTTTCTGTTATGAACTATAAGAGTGATAAATATAAGATTTTGTCTAAATAAATCTAGGGCTCTTTGATAAATAAAAAATAATAATTTATATCAAAGCCTTGTATCACAGTTTAATTTGCAGTTTTAGTGTTTTCACAGGGGTATAGAAAGTAATAGTGTATTATTTTAATATCTCCCAGTGTTTCAATTTGATAAAATAAAGGAGTAATTCAGCAAATCATAGCATCAAACTTTTAATTTGTTTTTCTTACTCTGAAACTACAAGAGGAAAGATATTATTTAGCAAGGTCACAGATAGTTCCTGCGTTGGGAAATAATAAACACATTTTAATATGTTTTTTTTTCCTCTAAGTTTTTTTGTGTCATTGATGGTAGCCAATTCACCTTGTAGTTTATTGAATTTCTCCTGTCCTTTTTGCTATTTAGGGAGTAGCCAACTAAAATGCCAAAAGTTTCAATGAGCACCTCACTCTAGGAGATTCTATACATCAACTTAATTAACTCTTTCACTACTGCATACCTTGGACTGGCAGAATATAAAAATAAAACTAAATATATACTACATTCAGCCTGAATTAAGCAAAATTCCCAACCCCAAATTACCACTACTTTCTGAGGATCTCTTTCCAGAAGTCTGTACTCTGTTGCCTTTGTTTGTATCAGTGAGTGATTTCGGTTGAATACATGAGAAATCTGGTAAAGTTAACTATGCAGAAGATAAACATATTAGAAATATATTGCCTAGATAGCATGATGCTTCTGTGCACTGTTGTTTCCTGAATTCGAAGTCCCAGATGGTTTATCAAATTTGCAAATATTGGTTCAAATATCTACACTCTGCATGCCAGTTATCAAAGGTACAAGGAAATCTAGCATCTGAACCATTTGGGTTTGGTAGTAGAACACAGACCACTGCTTTCCACTGAGAACTATACACTGGTAGAGTCTCAAATATAGGAAGGTGTATCTGATGCCAATCTAGAGGGAAGATTAATTGTGTCTGAAAGTTTACATAAGGATTTTCTCAAGCATGTGAAAGGGATATGGCAGAGAATAGAGACTATTTCAGATGGTAGAAATGAAGCACCAGATCCAGCACAGGTCGGAACTGAAGTTTGTGCTTCTAGTTTAAGATGGCAACTCTGGAACTTTATATTCCCTCCTACCCAAATCTCAGAAAAAAGACAAAAAAATGAGGAGAAAAAGTGATAAATGCAGAATTCCGTTGAGAGTAGAAACATTAAAAACAGTACAAGACCATTTTTTTTCCCCAAAAGGCAGAAATCCCACTGATGGTTCAATGAAAGTGGAGTAAATGTCACAAGTTGTGTTCAGTATGGAAAACAAGAATGGATTGTGTGAGAGAAATTCAGGAGGTTAAACAAAGGACTGGATAGTGAATAGCAGAGCTAGATCTTTCATTCTTTCTACATTTTCAGGAAAATAAAACCCCGGCAGCACCAGCCTCTGTGTCTAGAATAAAACAATAAAAGAAGTGATTTGTCTGGGAAGTGATAGGCCTTGTATTGTGATATTGGGTCGTCAGGGAGAAGTCACATTTATTGTGGCATTTAATGATCAGCCTACTTCCAATTCTGTGAGTTTGAAAATAAAATCAACCTATTCCGTTAGTCACCTTCTTTAAACAGTATTTTCATTCAACTCTTCCGCTCAAGGAAATAGTCTCCTAAGGAAATAGAACTTTATTACTGGTGAAAAACCTTTGCTCTCTATCTATATTAATAAATGTTTATTCATAAATACAAAGCATTACCAAAGGGAATTTGAGATCCATTGGTGCAAAAGAAAAAAGAAAGATCCATGGGGGAGAAAAATGTTTGAATATTTGAATATTTTATACCTATATTCTTTAATGCCATAGTGAAAATGTGTGTATGAATATAAAATGTGTATTGATTAGGACTTCTTTGTTACTAAAGAACAGGGTGGCACTGCCTCTCCACTTTCTATGGGTCTTGAAAATGTAAGGCCTTTTGATTTTACAAGAGGTACTGAGGAGTTTGATTCTTAAACTGTAAACACATACTTCCAAAATTAATTTGTAAGGCCCTCGGGAGAGGTATTGGAAGCAGTCACAAGGTATGTCCTCTTGTTTCTCAAGGGAATGAGAGAAATTTTAATTTTTATCTCTTTAACTTTTTTTGTAAAAAGTGTATAAAATTCTGTCCAGAATCTGTAATTACTCTTGTGCTACCTTACATGCACGAATTCAGTTAATACCTGATTATAAAATGGTTCTTTCTTCTATGCTGCTAGAGAGAGGATTTTTGTTGGTGGAATAATTTATGTTTCTCATCAATATATATATGGAATTGACTCTAGCGATATAGATTTCTGTTTCTGGAACCAACACCTCTACTTCTAACACATCTTTAATAATTTTGCACTTACATTGAATATGCAAATATGTAGCAATGAACTAATATTTAAAAATGTTAGAGTTTAAGGTCATATTTAGGGACATTGGGTGAGATATTTGGGGCAGACATAATTTCGCTAAAGCTCCTCAAATCATGCTTGTACCTGAAAGAATGCTTTAAATCGAGCTTGTCCAACCCATGAGCCACATGCAGCCCAGGGAGGCTTCTTGATATTAAATCATAATCTGTGTTTAGAAAATATGTGATTGTACCACCAAATTTTATTTTTAATCTTATACCCAGAACATACAGTTCCACTGCAATTATTACATAGAGGCCACTATTACTGTAATTCTGTTTTTTTTTTTTTTGTGAATAGATAGGGAAAGCTTAATATGTGTATAATAGTAATGTAAATTTTATTGGGATTTCTTCCTCAAGAAATAACCATACTATTTTTTTTCTGTTGAGTGTATGTGCGAGTTGGATTGTCCTGCACTTTCCTCACTATGAATGTCTCCCCTGACTAGATACATTATTGTGTGAAATTTCATGCCTGTGCATCAGGCATTTTGTAAGTCCCTAGAGAGTGGTGCTGGCTGAGGCGCTTTAGGTACTAAACAAACAAAATAACAAACAATATGTATACCAAATAGGTGTTAATTCCTGTGAGAATTAATTTTTACCCCATCCAAGATGGAAAAACTTAATAGAATCTATTTACCACCAAATGGATTATTTGCCTTCCAGTGGAAAATTACCATAATAGTGCTCAAAATTTGTCTCTTTTGATGACATATTGAATATTCTGAGAAGGCAGAAACTAGGTTATATAAGTCCATGCTGTTGGGCTTATGTGTGGTCACCATGGTTGTTATTCTGTTTCTATGATTGTCATGCAAAGTCCAGAGGAGCCAAGGAGAAAGGCTATTATTTAAGGTCAGCTGGCTGAGTAATTTGTCTGCTTGGTTGTTTGGTGCCTCTCTTCCATGGTGAGTACGCTCTGGTTGCCATTAATATCTGACAGAAAAATTTTCATTCTTGTTGCTCATTTGCATATGTCCATCCACTTGCCTCTTCTCTATACCTCATTTTATCTAGTATTTCAGTTCTTTAACTTCCCGGACATTCACAACAGCTCGTAATTACATATATATTCTCAGTTTTGGCCACATCTGATTTATGTAAAGTAGATGAACAGTTGTATCCCTAGAAACTCTGTCCATTAGGAAGATTTTTTTTTTCTCACTCACTGTCATTCAAAGCCACCACTGAGTGTGGCTGTAATGTAGACTCCCTTTATTTTTGGTTTGCATTTATATACTGAGCCAATGTATTCATAAACCAAGCTTGGATTTTTTCTATTTCTTTCATACATCCAAAAGTACAAGGTGAGAGAGAAATGCAAATGTGGTTGATGACATGGGAATCTAGGCTGTACGTTCATGCCATTTATTTATGCCTTCTAGTCCTTCTCAGGCTGGATCCTTAATGTGCCATTTCTGTACGGCAATGAACTGCTACTGGATCTGCTTAATTTGAAGACTTCATTAATCTGCTAAAACCCAGATCAAAATGGACATATATGTAATAGATTAAGGTTATTCAGAGATTTTATCCTATTCATCAACTTGGCAACCGGAAGTTAAAGTAGGAACACCTCTTGAGAAGAACCTATCGCTTGTAGGGAGGAGGCCTCCGGAGTGCTAGTTCATGATAGGAAAGGGTGAGCCCCCTCTAAGAACTCAGGGTTCAGAGTTACAATTATCAGAGGAATTCACGGAAATGCTCCCAATCTGTCTTAGTTTTTTCAGGCAGCTCTAACAAAATAAAATAAACTAGATGGCTTACAAATAACAGCAACTTAGTTCTCATAGTGTTAGAACTGGTAAAGTCCAAAATCAAGGCACCGGCATGTTTAGTGCCTGGTGAGGACTCCTTTCTTAATAGATCGTGCTTTATTGCTGCATCCTCACATGATGAAAGGACAAACACGTTTCCTGGAGCCTCTTTTTTCAACAGCATTAATTCCATTATGAAGAATTCACCCCCATGATCTAATCACCTTCCAAAGGCCCTACCTCCTAATACCATCATCTTGTGCATGAGGATTTTAACATATTAAATTTGAGGAGACACAAACTTTCAGACCATAGTGCGTCCTAAGCTTCAGTAACTCATATTTTCTCAGTTAGGGCTGTGCACATAGCATAACACACCAGCCTAGATAGAGCATTCTAAAGCTTTTTACCTCAATGACCTAAGAGTAATAATGTGAGTCTGCTCCTCAGAGTCTTAATATTACTGTTAAGGTCACTGAGCTACAAAACGTCCTACCTCACACTGCAAGAGACAAAAAAAGGCCCCTTTGAAATCTGCAGTGGAGGTTTTCTGGCTTGCACCTTCAGCCACACCCAGTTTGTTATCATCTCTCTGTAGGACATCAGTGTACCAGACCCAGACAATTCCATTATGCTTATATGTATTGTTCTTCCTGAATTTTTCAAAGACTTCATTTATCAAATTGTACAAGTCATCCTTCCCCCTTTGTACCTCTACCATCCTTTGCCATTGCTTCCCAGGATGCTCACGGCCTCATCCTCAATGGGAGATCTCACAACTAGGAGGCTAGTAGCCACCCTCCTTGTGAGAATTTGTCCCTCGAGAGGAGATAAAGCAGTTTAGCTCCATGACTGCCACAGTTATAAATTACATATAACGTGCTTTCTATAACATGATTACCATACTTCTACTCTCCATGTCCAAGAGTTCAATTGTTTTCATTTTTAGATACCACAAATAAGTAAGAACATGTGATGTTTGTCTTTCTGTTCCGGGATTATTTCACTTAACATAATGATCTCCAGCTCCATCCATGTTGTTGCAAATGCAAATGGATCTCGTTCTCTTTTATGGCTAAATAGTACTCCATTGTGTATATGTGCCACATTTTCTTTATCAAATTATCTGTTGATGGTCACTTAGGCTGCCCCCAAATCTTAGCCACTGTAAACAGTGCATAAAAAACATAGGAGTGCAGATATCTCTGATACGCTGATTTACTTTCTTGGAGGTATATACCCAGTAGTGGGATTTCTGGGTCATATGGTAGCTCAATTTTTAGTTCTTTGAGGAACCTCCAAAGTGTATTCCATAGCGGTTGTACTATTTTACATTCTCATCAACAGTGTACAAAAGTTCCCATTTCTCCACATCCTCACCAGCAATTTTTTATTGCCTATCATTTGGATATAAACCATTTTAACTGGGTGAAATATATTTACTATGTACATATATAATTTTTTGAAATATTTTTAAATTAAATATATATATGATAAAATCCTGTGAAAATATGTTATTTGGCATGTATCAATTTTTTGTTAAGAACAGCTATGTAAAAAATGAATGGTGCACAATCTCTGCTTTCAAATAACTGAGACTTAAGATAAAATTTGTGTTATGTACAAGTAGTTTCACTAAGTATATTATTTATGACAAAGTCCACAGGAAAAAAGAAAACCCTATATTAGAAAATATCAGTGAAGTCGGAAGTAAAATTCACTTGAGAACTGGAAGGTGGCAGCATAGAGGTACTATTTAAGTTTGAAATTTAATTGACAGTAAATTTGGGGAAATAAATTATTCCAAAGATAAGAAAAAAATAGAAAATCATGAGCATAGATGGGGAAAGTGCGGAGTGTTTTCAGGGACAGAGATTAAGTGTTTTAGTTGAGTTGAAGTATACACAGTACAAAAGGGAGTCCTGAATATGTTGAGATTGTGGTCAATTATTGGGAGCCTTAAAGACCAATCTTGGGGAAGTCCCAAGCAGGTGTAACTATGAAGCTAAATTTTTGGCCCAGGTAGAATCACTTTCACAGCTGCCCAAAGTATTTATGTAAATTTCTTGGGTTTTGTTTTTTTCTTCTTGGTGCTGTTTCTTTAATTATTTTTAACTTTTATTTTAAGTTCAGGGGTACAAATAAGGTTCGTTACATAGGTAAACTTGTGTCATGGGGGTTTGTTGTACAGATTTTTCATCACCCAGGCATTTTTAAGAGTTGCCAAACCTTCATTACCATGGAATCCTTGAAGAAAATAAGGTTATTTGTATATTTTTGAAGCATTTGCTAAAATTTCCTATAGGGAATAATAACACAAACTAACAAAAAACTTTTCTACATTCCCACAGAGGACAATATCCTCTAGATAAACTTACTCCTTCTACAAATGGAGTCAAAGTAGGTATCACAATTGACTCCTAGTTAGTTATGTCAGGATGGCACTGATGATGCCTTAAATAAATGCAGGGAAATTGGAAAGGAAAAACAAAGGTAAATTTCAAAGACATGAAAGTATAAGTGCCAAGCATTTGCATCCAATGGTATATGCAAAGTGAAAGAGTACAGTTAAAGGAAATTGGTTACAAAAATAGAGGTAACAAATTAATAATATAATGTCACAAATGTAAATCTGCACTAAAGTCTATGGATGTGAATTTGTTTAGTTTTACATATTCTGTGAAATAAATATGTGCAATATTTATTGTATTACTAAATTATTATTTATTATGTGGAATATGTTTTCTTGCTTAGTCTTTTTTAGCAAAGATTAATGGAAAATATATTCTAAAAATACAATTGGTCTCCAACTTGAAATGGTTTGACTTATGATTTTTCAATATCACCATGCTGCAAAAACAATACACATTCAGTATAAGCCATACTTTGAATCACTAATTTTGATTTTTCTTGGGCTTGCAATAGGTGGTAGGATTCTCTCTTGCCTTGCTGGTTAGCAGCAGTGAGCCACAGCTCCTAGTCAGCCATGTGATCACAAGAGTGAGCAACCAATTCTCTATAGAATAGTATACCCCCCAGATGGTTTTGCCCTTCTGTAGACTAATGTAAGTATTCTGAGAACATTTAAGGTAGGCTAGGCTAAGCTAGGATTTTTGGTATGTTAGGTGTGTTAAATGCATTTTCTACTTAAGACATTTTCAACTAATGGTGATTTTATCAGGACATAACCTCATCATAGGTGAAGAAGCATGTAAACACATATACAAATACACAAAGTAAGAGTTCATAAGTATAATATATAATCTAATAAGTCTCAATTTATTTTCAAGAATAATATCAGTTTATTAGAATCCTTTAGCTAACAAAAAGTGTATTTCCTATTGAACTTGATGCTGAGAACCACAATTTGTTGAGATGAATTAGTCAATGTCTTATATTTAAATTCTTGTCTTACAATGTTTAAGAAATTTTATTATTATATTGAGATAATTTTTAAAGATACACCCCTATATAAGGACATGCATACCTGCACACTCACTTACTTTTGCTCAAATTGGAGCTAATCAATTACTGAACATTTTTGAAGGCAAAAATGAGTTATGATGTTTAAACATTGCAACTAGTTTCAGAAACAATAAACAATTGCCTTAAAATATTGATACAAAAGCAAACCATGTAGATGACTGAAATTTCTTTGAATGCAAAATATTAGTAGGCTCCAGAAAAAATAAATTTTGACTCTTACCTGAAAGAAAATGGGTCATACAAAGATGAATATAGAAGCTTTTTATCTGTATTTATTACCTAAGTGTAAGAATCTTTGTCTTGGGTTCAACTTAGTTAGCTATCTGAATGTTAAGGTTTTCATTCTTAATTAGAAATTTTATTTTGTTTATTATGTTATTCAAATACACCTGCTGACTTGGTTCATTTCAGAATCATAATTATTTGCAATTATTATAAAGAAAGAGTGATTAAACTTTTCACTCATATAAGAAAAGATGGTACAAAGGGCTACTATATGAAAAGCATAAATCTTTATAAACAATCTGGGCACTTTTAAATATGTTGATAAAGATAAGATAGAAGCAGAGGTAATGAATACTGCAAAATATTTTGTCATATTTGTCTTCGTTATCTTCTCCACTCTTTTCTTCTTCCTAAAAGATATTTTCAATGTTAAAAGAAAAACACTTCTGGAAACATTAATTTTTTAATATATTATTCCAGATGTTCATTAATGTTAAATAGAAATATAGTGCAGAGTTTGATGATTTTCAGCAATAAAACCAACCAGAAAAAGGGACAAAAAATAATCCGACACTATACAAGCTGCTATTGTCCCCATTTGCTAATGAAAATTAATAGACAGGATTTAAGTACTCTGTCTTTGCTAATGATGTTCAATCCTTCCCCACATGGCTTCCTCTCCTGCCTTGGACACATTTAGTCAAGGTTTGCAGTTGTTGTTTTTCTTTATTTTGCTTCTTTTTAAATGTTATACTGTACCACCATTTATTGCACTAAGGAAGCAGCAGGTAATAAATCCTCCGGGTTTCTTTGGTTTGTGTCTGGCTTCATGAAATACCTCACTGTGAATGACAGCGACTGCAGCTGATATCCTATTCATTCCATCACATAGACTATAGTTTAGAAACACACTGAGCAGTGCAATGAAATGAAACATTTGTCCATTTATAGCCACCAGTATCATGTTTAGATCCATTGATCATCTCTTCAGTGACAACAAATCAATAGGAATACACATCAAAGAAGCCAAGTAGATAGTCTTGATTAAGAAACAAACATTTGGTACCCAGAATGGTACCAAGGATACCAGGACAAAAACCACTCTGCAGAAAATCATCAAAATATCTTAGCAGAACACCTAGGTTATTTCCTCTAAAAATCCATTACTATTCACACCAGATAAACAAACTCAGCATGCAAATTCTGAAACCTATGTCTTAGCGCTATACATACAAAACCTAGAAAATAAAATGAAAAATTTGTTCAAAAAGAGCATTGAAATGCAAGCTAAAGCACGTCTATGGAATTAACAGCTGTATCAAACCGAAGTTAAGGAAAGTATTTGGTTGCCACTATAAATGCCATGATTATGAGAACGCTGTATGGTTGTCTTGTTGAACAATGCCAACTAAGTGAAACTGACAAGCAGTGAAAATCAAACTGCCCCATTAGACAACTGGCCTATTTTAATATCAGAGCTGTGTGTTACAAAGGAAGCAAAATATCCAAATACTTAAAAGTCTCTCTAGATAAAGGTTTCTCGACCTTAGTTCTATTGACTATTTAGGTCAGATAATTCTGATGTGACAACCAAAAAAAAAAATATTTTCAGACATTTCCAAGTGTATGATGGGGGATCAAAACTACCCT